>NC_000006.12:2484242-2635757 GCF_000001405.40 Homo sapiens
AGTGCTGATTGGTCCATTTTGACAGAGTGCTGATTGGTGCATTTATAAACCCTTAGCTAGACACATAGCGCTGATTGGTGCATTTACAATCCTTTAGCTAGACAGAAAAGTTCTCCAAGTACCCTACCCGATTAGCTAGACACAGAGCCCTGATTGGTGCGTTTACAAACCTTTAGTTAGACACAGAGTGCTGATTGGTGCGTTTACGATCCTTTAGCTAGACAGAAAAGTTTTCCAAGTCCCCACCAGACCCAGAAGCCCAGCCAGCTTCACCTCTCAATGGGATTTTAAAAAATGTTTTTACTTGGCAAATAAAGACTTAGCAACCTAATACCTACCTCTCAAAATATTTGTAAATCATACTGATCTATAAAATCTATTAAGTATGAGATTTGTTGATATAATGACTCATAAAAGCAATGTAATCCAAATTAAAATTTGTAAAGCACTGCATAATTTACATAGTATTTCTGTCTCGAGTATCTTTAAACCATTAAGTTAAGAGTGTGACTTTGGACGGGTGTGGTGGCTCACGCCGGTAATCCCAACACTTTGGGAGGCCAAGGCAGGCAGATCACCTGAGGTCGAGAGTTCGAGATCAGCCTGGCCAAAATATCGAAACCCCATCTCTACTAAAAATACAAAAATTAGCTGGACGTGGTGGCATGCCCTGTAGTCCCAGCTGCTCAGGAGGCTGAGACAGGAGAATCGCTTGAACCCAGAGGCGGAGGTTGCAGTGAGCCAAGATCGTGCCACTGCACTCCAGCCTTGGCGACAGAGTGAGACTCCATCTCCAACAAAAAAATGAAAGAAAGAAAATCTCCTGTAGTCACTTCTAGTCACCACAACAGTTTGATTTTAATAATTAGAAGACCTACTTCTATGCAGAAATATGAACTCCAAACCTCTGGATATGGGGACAGAAATTGCCGTGGCACTCTAAAAACTTTGTCCAAAGAAATGCTGTCTTCCATTTTCTTTGCCGTTAACCATTTTATATCCTTGAGATGGTGTTGAGTTGATCTGCAAAGCCGGCCTTGGCCACCTGCCCTGATAGTCTTGCCCAAATGCTCCAGCACCTTGCCCTGGAACGTGGCCAAATTGGCCACCTGCTGTTTTGTTCGTCCCTCTGATTTCTGTCTCGGTTGCTCTCTTTTGGAGTTCTGCAGTTGTGTGCGTGCTTTTTCTTGTTCTGGGTCAGTTTTTTTCTCATCTGTCAAACCAGGACACATAATTTTACAAGGTCACACAGTGAGGAAAGCCTTGCTGAATCTTACTGCTACGATTCACGGCATTGCAGAGGCCTTGCTTTTAGAGCTGCAACAGATCTCAGAAGTTTTAGGCTAATTCCTTCGTTTTACAGACGACTAAAATGAAATCCAGGGAGTTTAAGTGGCATGACGAGAGCTAGAGGATCCCTTCTCAAGTAACTATGGAACAAAGCCTTCGAAACGCATACGTTGGTACAGAGTTAGGCTGAGAGGGGCCTGAGCTTACACAATGTGGGTGTCCTCTTTCAGAAAGAAGAAATACAAAATTAAGTACACAATTGTTATCATTTAGAAAGATAAAAGAAATTACCGTGAATTACACACTTTCAAAACCTGTGAAATACCACAAACAGCATAAAATCCAAGAAAATAATATCTTTATTACTTAATTGTCCAACCAATCTCTGTAATTCCTGTTTTCTTATATTTTCTGCTGTATAATGTTTGATGGCCTTTTTTCTGACTACAGTTTTGTAATGTCATTTCTATAGAGATAATAGTGAGAAAATTCAGTCTTTAGCACAATCAATCACAATTTGGTTCTTATTGATAAGTTGAAAATCTTTCTTTCAGTTTTACAACTCATTATTGGTAAGTCATGTAAGTGTTAGTGTTATTATCAAGTTGTGGATAACTTCTGTCAACTTTTTCTCATATGTAAGCTGTAAGATTTGGAAAACCTTTTGACAGACTGGCTTCTGACTCTTTTTCAAACTTTCATTCCCTTCCCTCCCGACGTACTTCCTGTGCTGTGGAGGATGTTTGGCCTGGGAGATGACCTGTGATTCTGCACTTTGGGTCACACGCTGGGTGCATCAGTAGAATGGGCTTTCTGAGCATTCCCGGAAGCTATGCCCACACCAGGATGGCAGCAATGATTTTACTGTACCTGGAAGTAATGATGAGCTGTGTAAATGTAACCCAAACTAAGTGTATCCCAATCCTCCACTTGCTTTGACTTGGAGCACTGAAGGGCTGTGTCCTAGGTGCACATACACACACACTCATGCACATATACACATAGAGCCTTTTGCAGTTCCAAGCATGTCCTTTAGCCCCATGAGGCAGTCAGTGGCTTCACCCCACCTCTTTGCTTCTCCCTCGGGAACATGCAAATTCCTCCAATGAAAAAGGGACCTCCAGTGCTGAGCTCAATTCTCCCTTCTGGAAGTTGGCTCGGTAATTCTTTACAATCTTGTTAGCACCTGAGCTTCAAATTATTTCTATGAGAAATTTTGGGTTACAGAATCTAGCATACAATGAAAAAGTAACCACACTTCTAGGAGATGCGACACTGTGTACAAACACCAGCTGAAACAGCTAACAATGGCAACAGAGCCACAAAGACTCCAGAGAGTGGAGGTACAAATTTAATAGAAATAGAAGAAGAAAATAGAAAGTTTAATAGATATACAGACTTTTATATAATTTTTTTACTATGTTCAAGGAGATGAAAGACAATAGAATTTTAGCAGACATGAGAGGTTGTAGTGTATGCTACAAAAACCAAAGGCAAATTGGAAAACCAAAAAATTCAGTAATCAAAGTTAAGAACTCATTGGCTGTCTTTGACAGATGAGTCATTAAGGATAATCAGAAAGCAGGTTAGGAGAAAACAGAATAAAACATAATAAGGACAAATAATGGAAAACTACAGAAGACTGGGTCAGAGACAGAGGATAGAGTAATAAGGCTTAACATCAGCAAGAGGAGAGAATATGCAAGAGAAATTTTAGAAGTGTAAGGACATAGGAAAAAACAAACTCAGTTTCTCCTGCTATACTCTCACAACACTCACACTTCTATAACCCCAGATGTGTGGAGTTTTTCCCCACATACCAAGCAGTTCTGCAGATGATTCTCCAGTGGACACCAGCTGGGTGTCTTCTAATTCGATTCAGCTCTGACACTGTCTAGCTGGAGATTGTGTCAGATCTCACAGGTTGAAGGCTCATTCCCACAAGTCTATCCCTCAGTTCGGATGCCAATTGCAGTGCAGGTGGTGACCTGTGCTTCTGACCAACCAGCTACAAACCAGGGTTCCACTAACCCCCTCCTTGGGTTTATTTAATTTGCTAAAGTGGCTCACAGAGCTCAGGGAAATTCTTACATTTACACATTTATTATGAGGATAAATTACAAAGGATACAGATGAACATCCAGATGGAAGAGATACATAAGGCAAGGAATGGGAAAAGGGGCACAGGGCTTCCATGCTCTCTCTGGATATACCACCCTGCAGGAGCTTGTACGTGTTCTGCTATCTGGAAGACCCAGGGCTCAGTCCTTTTGGATTTTTATGGAAATTTCATTAAGTAGGCATGATTGATTATATCATTGGCTGTTGGTGATCCACTCAATATTCAGCCCTTTTATCCTCCCTGGAAGTGAGAGAGGTGGTTGAGGTGTGGGGGAGTAGGAGGTGGGCTGAAAGTTTCAACCTTCCCTCTTGGGAGGGTTGAAAACAGCAAACAGCCTCCCACCTGAGACTATCGAGGGGCTCCAGTCATCTCATTAGCATACAAGAGCCACTCATCACTCCAGAGATCCCGAGGATTTTGGGAGCTATGAATCAAGAAACCAGAAGACCATATACATTTCACAACATCACAGGAAGAGGCATGATTAAGAACTTACCAAACTAATTACAAATGTAAAAAATCTGCAACATAACTTAAATGTCACAAAATCTAAAAAAAAAAATTATTATCAATTAACTTTCTGATGCATCTCTAAAACACTTTTTCTTACCTATTTTGGTTGTACCCTCTTTGATCATCTCCTCAAAATGCAACAGTTTTGCAGTACCATTTTCTATAGAGAGAAGAGAAAGATAATTCAGACCTTTCTCTAGTGTGTTTGATTAAAATTTATTATTGAAGATTTAGAGAATTTTTTTACTTTCCCTTTTCAATTTAATATTGGTCACATTATGTAAAGTTCAATATTGTCTAGATTTCAGGAAACATTCATTATATATGAACTGTAAGATTTGAGAAATAAAAATAAAATTCTAAGCCCCCACCCAGCTGAACGGATCCCCTCTTGGCCAAGGGGACCCTGAAGAAACCTTAAAAACTGAGTTCCTGGCCATGACAGGAGGGAAGGGCAGCCGGCCTTGTTACACCGCCTCCCTTGCTGACTGCCACTGGCTTTCTCTTTAAGGGTTACACAGAAACCAGCCCTTTGGAAAGACTGGCTCTACCTATGATACCAACGAGCCCTCATGCTGCCCCTCCCTTACAGTTTTGACACAGGACTGACCAGCATTCCTTCCAGATGAGAGACCGCTGGCCACAGAGTGGCTTTGGCCAGTCTACGGACACTGCACACAGAGGGCCTCCATGTCCTCTGCTTTACCTTTTGATGTTTAGAGCCTACTTGTAATACATTTAAATGTTAAGTTGCCTCTCCAAAGTGAGCAGGGAAGCACGTTGCATGCCTGTTAGCTACTACACATGCCCTTGCCTCCCTTTTGTGAGTTTCCATCGCTCCTCCTATGACCTGCTGAACATGTATACTTAGCCAACCTGCTCAGCGTACATTCCAGTTCCCTTGACCCCCTCTCCTGAAGTACTTGTTATGGAGGTTACACTTCCCAGCCTGCAAGATGGCCAGCCTGCAGGCTGCGATGCTTTATGAGAAATAAAGCTCTTTTACCAAATTTATGAACCTCATTATTCTTCAGCTGCAGATTTCAGTTTTTCATGTTTTCATTTCAGTTTTTCATGTACAGTGACTAAACATATTCATTGAATTGATGACCTGCATTAGCTAGTTTGGTTAATGATTTCCTATAACAAACTTTTGTGAAGTTTATGGTATTTTCATTGATGTAACTAATTTGTCTCAAATCCACAAGACATTTAAATCTTACCCTTAATACGTTCATGAGATTCTTGCATCTTCATTGATTAGATTTTCCAATAATACAATGGCCTGTTCATGATTTTGACTCAGAATGTATTTGTTCTTTTTGATGGATTACTTTTTGAATTATCTGGACACTTTTTGGTTAAAATTGGTCATCTATATCAGAATAATTTCTATTAATTCCATCACATAGCTTCTTGACATTTGTTCATATTCCATTGAATTTAATGTGAATTTTTCTCTCAGGTCCTTAATAAATTTAAGCTTGACAAAAGACAACACTTCAAAATACATTCAAGTCAAGGGTTCATTTATTTTATTAAAATGTTTTTTCTTTCTTAATTGCTAAAAAAATGTGTTCCAATTTTATCAAATATGCCATTCCCATCAAAAAAGAAAGAAAGCATGGTGAACTTCATTTTGAGAAGATGTTGCTGGCCCTGTGCAGATCACTTTACATCACTGATGACTGGAGAAATTTGTCTTCCCTCTGCTACACACAGCTGGGTGCTGTAGGATGCATTCTTATCGCTGGTCCTGAATCATCAGTTCTTCTGCTTGGTGAGTAGACACAGTGTGCAACAGGGACATTCCTAGAAGCCATCCCTACATTAGGATAATTAGCAATCGTTTAACAGTAAGAAGAGCGCCTGGAAGTCACATAAATTTATTCCATTAAATCCAAATTAATTATGTCCCCAACTCTACTGCCCCTAACTGGAACCCAGTTGGCCTGCGGGCACCACAGCTCACCCTGCAGAGGAGAAATTGATGAACGGGACATGAGCATGGAAAAAGATCCGAATCCGTTGCTCTTAAAGTAGCTTACTTTTGCAAATTGTATTACATATGAGCACATGGGCACAGTGTTAGAGGCCCCCTCAAGAAATACATGCTCACATGGACACTGCCTGCGGTGCTCACCCAGGCCCTGGAAGGGGATCGTGCAATGAAGGGCACTGCAGCATCAGCTTTGTTTTATAGTAAATCTACTTTGGACACCTATTAATTCAGTTATTTGGTCGTTTCTGTTAATTCTTAAAAATCCTACCACGCGCCAAGCACTGGGGGATATCAAGGGTAGGAGAACACTGTGTGTGAGTGAGCCTAGTTCTCTTCTCCCTCCCCCTCCTTCTCAGATGCTCTTTTCCAATTTTACAAAAGAAAGACAGGCCTCTTCCTCACATTAGGGCACATTGCTCCAGGAGGTAAAAGTGCTTGGGGCAACAAGGAAACAATTCAAAACATTGGTGTTGAGAAAGCAAATGAGGAACCAGCTTATTTTTAATACTTTGCCTTCAGTAAAATTAAAGGAAGATTTAATGAGATTGGCAGTTAATAGAGCATTAAAAATAACTTTGATTATCAGTCATAATATGACTTCTGGCATATTACTCAGAAGTTCAAAGAATTGAGTGACATTGCACCAACAAATCCTTCACTTACCATCTACCTTTTTAGGTGAACAGAGTTTCTGTATAAAACAGAAATTAGTAAAAGATTCATTGCTGAGTTCTTTCTTATTCTAACAATATGTAGTGATTGTCCAAGGATGTGTAAGTGCAATTAAGAATCACACACATATACTGAAACATTTTTGAAAAGTTTGAAATGGGCAAAAAGATTACTGGGTGTCCGGTGCAGCACACCCTTCCAGGTTATCTCTGACTTTCATCATCTATGAGCTATTTTAGAACACTGTACGTTGAAAAAGTTGCATAGTAATACAAATAATTCTTGACCAAAGAAATGCTGAATTAGTTCCAGTGGTGATAACATTAATTATTGCCCCTGTAGATGTTGACACATTTTGCATCTATTTGTAAGTTCATTTCAACATTCCTAATTGCCCCTGCACGCCCCCCAACCCCAGCGCGCGCGAGCGTGTGTGTGTTTTGTGTGTGTGTTGCGCGTGTGTGTTTGTGTGTGTGTTGTGCGCATGTGTGTGTTGTGTGTGTGCGTGTGTGTGTGTTGTGCGTGTGTGTGTTGTGTGTGTGTTGTGTGTGCGTGTGTGTGTGTGCTGTGTGTGTTGTGTGTTGTGTGTGGTGTGTGTTGTGTGTGTGTTGTATGTGTGTGTTGTATGTGTGTGTTGTGTGTGTATGCGTGTGTGTTCCTGTGTGTGCGTGTGTGTGTGTTTAATTCTATTTTGAACTGTAGTTGATATCTTACTGATGCCCTCCTTGGTTAATGATGTAAACAAAATCTTTGATATGTTCATTTTATGAAAGTCATGAGGATTTTACCTTTTAAAAATTCACACACACACACACACACACACACACACACACGACAGAAAACAAACTTGACCTGTGTGCTTTCTACTTTTGAAGTGTATTGAGATATAATTTTTCCCTAATAAATGGCCAGTTTGGAGGTATGCTTTTTGCACTGTAACATGGATTTCTAAGATCCAGGGCAAATAATATTATGTACCCCTCCAAATTAAAAAAAAAAAAGTCCTAACTAAATAACTTCATGCGAATCTCGAGGACTGCATGGATGAAAGCAAGTTTCTAAAGGGCACCTGAGCAGATGTGTATGGAAGCGGAGGCATCAGGAGAAGCCCTTTAGCTTGGCAGAATTCCGCTGCTCAGGACCATCCTGCTGTTACCGCCCATCGCTGCCCTGGGCTGATTGCAAACACCAGGGACTTCTTAGCATCAACCAGAGGATGCATCCCTGTCTCCCAGGGTCACTGTCTAACGTCCCTTTAGGCATGATGGCTCTGATTTTCTATTCCCAAGGGATTTTTTTCTGATCAGAAATAGTCCAAATCCTATTTGTCAATTGTACTGTTTTGTTTTTTGCTACCTGCTTTTCTGTTGTTATGCTTTCAATATCTTTTCAGTGAACCACTCCCCAGTAGCCTCCCCCAACTCCCCTGTACCCACTGTATCCACTCAGAAAAAAACCAACAAATTCATTGTTTACAGAAACTCAGAGGAGTGCTTAATTTTTGTCTGGAGCCAACTAATTATATCTGCAAAGTAACCAGAAACTTCCTCACAGTGTGTCAACTCCACAGCAAGGCAGAGGAGACAAAACTCAACCAGGCTGATGTATAGCGATTCAGACCCTCCCAGGAGCTGAATAACACCCCGGTGTCACCGTCCTAGCAGCATGTTATGTTAGATAGACACCTCTTCTGACTGGATGTGACTGGGCTTGAGATGAGCGAGGAAGAAATGGCTGACATTAGATCCATTTCTGGGGGTGGGTTTTAACAGGGCGTGGAGAGGGAGCAAGAGGGCATCTTGTGCTTGGCAGGAAAACTTGTACTGAGTAAATATGTGCCTGAAGGGAGGCCAGGAGACAGCAAAGGGAAGGAAGGAAGACAAGAGCGCAGAGGGATCCCTAAGGGGGGCCACCAGAGAAACTTCCCTGAGACGCAGAAACATCCAAGATGCCTGGAAAGTTCCGTGCCTTCTCCCTGGGTTAGGAGGATCTGTAGGCCATAGAATGTCTATATTTGTCAGTGTGAGTTATACCTCCAGGGCGCACTCCTGTATTTCATCACACATGGGTTTTCTTCATCTCACAGGGCTGCAACCCAAGTCTATTTGTGAGCTCAAGGCCCAGCCCCTTAACATGTTTTCCCCAACTCTGAATCTTTTCATCTGCTTCCCACCAACTTCTGGAGACTTCCAGGTGTTAACTGAAATGACTGTATGGGCACCAGGTTCAGGTGGAGCAAGCTGATTATAATCTGGTTGGCTGAAAAACTTGTTGGCAGTTTCTTTCTTAACTCTCTCGTGCCAATGGAAAACAAGCCCGCTGCCAAACCCCATTCAGTAAGAGGCACTAATGAACCTCCAGCAATCAGACCGTTGATGTCAGACTTGTTAGCTGGGGCCAACATTTGTGAACTTTGATTTTTAAGCCAGCTTTCACACACACATGCACAGGCACACGCACATGCACACACACACACGTGCACACACGTACAAACACATGCATACACGTGCATATTTGGCAACATTTTACTTCCCTGCTACCCGCTTATCCATGAACCCACCTTTTCCCCAATCATCTAGAGATCTTTTACCTACTCCTAGGAAAGGTCAAGGTCACAAGTACATATCCTCAGTCTTCTGATAACAGAGAAGCAGATTCTAATATTCAAAATGAAGCTACAATGTATGTGAGCTTCTTTTTTTCTTTTTCTTTTTCTTTTTTTTTTTTTTTGAGACGGAGTTTTGCTCTGTCGCCCAGGCTGGCGCAATCTCTGATCACTGCAACCTCCGCCTCCCAGGTTCAAGCGATTCTCCTGCCTCAGCCTCCTGAGTAGCTGGGATTACAGTCATGTGCCACCAGAGCTAGCTAATTTAGTATTTTTTTAGTAGAGACAGTGTCTCACCATGTTGGTCAGGCTGGTCATGAACTCCTGACCTCAGATGATCTGCCTGCCTCGGCCTCCCAAAGTGCTGGGATTACAGGCGTGAGCCACCGTGCCCAGCCAATTTATGTGAACTTTTAAGAGTAAGAGTCTGCCCCCCATATGCCTCAGCACAGAGTCTGGGCATATCGAAGTGGAGAAGGCGTCTGCTCACGCTCTGGATAGTAGTGTGCTGGCAAATACTTAACAATCAGCTCTCCAACAGTGAAAAGCCCTGGCAGCATTTGCCTATTTCTAAGGTGTAAATGTTCCCTTCATGAGTGATTATAAGCCACCAATACAAGGCCACTCAACATGGAGTTGTGAAGGACAGCACATGGTTTTCTCTCAGAAGCCAGCAGGAGCCAGCTTCAGCACCCGACTTGCTCTGGGCTTAGCTTACCATGAACCAATCTCTAAGCATAAATCAACTACCCAGAAGAGTAACAGCTTATGAAGTAATTAGGGTCAGATTTGGAAGTGGTGTGGTGAAGAGGATCTGAAAGGGTTTTTCACATTCAAATTTCCCAAGAATTATCTTCGGCAGAGTAAGAGCCAGTAGTATCAGATACACACGGGAATGATCAGTCTCTTGAGATGGACAATATTTATCAAGCATCTTCTCATGTAGCACACTTTAATAAAAGTCCAAGCCAAAAGGGGCCAACCTATGCCCTCTATGGCAATATAAATCTCCAGAAGTTGCTGACCTATTTACAGTTTGTGACCCAAGATTCTTTATGCAATAGAAATAGGGTTTTGTGAAATTTTAGGATTTGGAAAAGACCTCACGGATTATCTATTCCAGTGACTTTATCAGACTCAAGATCCC
Organism: Homo sapiens; assembly: GCF_000001405.40. NCBI lineage: Eukaryota > Metazoa > Chordata > Mammalia > Primates > Hominidae > Homo > Homo sapiens. The sequence continues at coordinate 2,494,594 of NC_000006.12, forward strand.
ACTCTTCCCCACTTTATGGAGGAATAATGGAAGTATGTTTTTGAGGTGTACAATCTGATCAGTTTTGTGTATGTATACAACTTTGGAACCATCCTTTAAAAAATATTCTGTAACACACCATGAAAGAAATTCATCCACTTACAAATATGTTTTTAAAAATCAATGTAATGATGAATTGCTAAATGCTCAGGTAGTTTTGTGCCAGGACGACATAGTGAAGAAGTCAGATGGGTGCATGTGCATAGAGAACCATCGGAAATCAACAGCGTCAGCATGAATGAATGAACAATGAACAATGAATGAATACATGTGGGGCTCAAAAGTGGGCAGCTTTGCAAAATGTGAGCTGATTTTCCAAACCAGTGCCCAATCTTGTTATTGTTCCAACAATAAAATTTAAAAAGTCTCAAGATTTACATGATCACTGTATATTAAACCTGTGTAAAGATTCTTTGTGCTTTTATGTAGAATGGGGTTAGATTCTAGGCACAGATAATGCTACAAGCAGGCCTCTCACCTACATGGCTATACAGTAGAACATCCTCAGATCTTGCAGAATGTGAGATAGTTATTTTGGGGAACAGTCCTGTGCATCATAGGCCATTGCCCCCCCAGTTCTTGTGACAACGCCAAAAGGGTCCCATTGCTCTTGGCAAGGCACAGATGTACTTTAATATATATTTTGCAGAAACAGCTGTTGTGCTCCTGCTGTATTAGTTGTTTTCAGTCATAAATAACGTAAAGTTCTGGCTCCCACTGGCTTGGACAACCCAAGAATTTATGACCTCACAGAACAGCCGCTCAATAATGTCACTGGAGACCAAGATTCCTGTTCCATCTTTCCTGCTGCCCTCTGGTTGGCTGCAGGCTGGCTGCACAGTCCAGCTCCTGCTGGACACCAGTCTCACCAGAGGAGAAGGGGATGTCTCAGAGATGCCCCTTCTGCAGGCTCCCTCATTTACCATGCCTCTCGGGCAAACGGGGCAAATGTGGTTGGCTAAGATGAGTCAGAATCTTCCCTGGGTGTCTTCATCTGTTTGGGCTGCTGTATCAAAGTACCATCAGCTGGTGGATTCTAAACAACAGAAATTTATAAACAGCCCTAGCAGTCCTGGAGGCTGGAAGTCCAAGATCAAGGTGCCAGCAGGTCACTGTCTGGTGGAGTCCCACTTCCTTCATCGATGGCTTCTTCTTGCTGTGTCCTCATGTGGATGGCGGGCTGAGGTGTCTCTCTTGAGCCTCTTTTATGAGGGCACAAATCCAACTCAGGAGGCTCCACCCCCATGACCTAATCTCCTCCCAAAGGCCCCACCTCCTAAACCGTCACCTTGGTGTTGGTTTCAACACACGAATTTTAGGGGGACACAGGATTCAGCCCATAGTATTTGGGCAGGAGATGACATCACTGTGAGTAGGGTGGAAACCGGATACAATGGGGATTCTCAGAGGAAGAGAAGGGGGATTGGGGATGTGGCTTAGGCATCAATGGACAGCATCCAGTATGTGGAGAAACTGGTGAAATGTTGACTGATTGTGGGTGGGGCCAGGTGGAGAAGGGAGGTGAAGGAGGGTGGGGAGGCTGCACCCTGAGATCACTGCTCACCTTTCTGTTTCCTATGCCAGCAACAGCAGAGGCCAGCACGAGGGGAGGAACCCAGGCCTCCGACGGTCCCGGTGTTTTAGTCACCCTCCATGATCAGATGGCAACATGATGGGGGTGCTGGGCCTCAGTGGCATCTCACAGAACCCACAGCCCTGAAAACCATGCTTCCTGGTGCCTGCCCACGGCAGTGAGCGCCTTGGGGGTGGGCTGGATTTGTATTCCGTTTCAAGCCCGGCACTTACTGTGACCATCACCCGTGAAGCGCTTGATGGTGTTTTACCAAATGACTGAAGGCAGCTCTGGCTCTGGGCTGGCCATCTGCCATGTGGGCTACTTGTGGGTCCACAGCCTGAATTGCCAGGCACATCTTCCACTTCATCCACCCCTGCTTCACTCATCCATCCGCCTCCCTCTCTATACAAGGGCCGTTTTAATTCCTGCTGGGAAATGCTGAGCAGAAAGTCACTTTAAGAACTGACTGTGGAATTCCTCCCTTGGACAGAGCTGACTTTGCTTAGGAATATATCTAAATGAGCATGTTTGTTTATGAAGACGAGGGCATGGTCCGCAATGGTCAGGAAATGACCAAGAAATGGAGAAACTGCATGGTATTAGAAAATAACAGGAGATGGTGGGTGGAGACCAACAATAACACTTGAAAGAGAGGTGCGAGAGCACGTTGAGAGCATTTCCCCCATGTCGGGACACCAGAGATGTGGGGGAAAGTCAGCCAAGAGGCTCATGGGAGCAGCTCTGGAGGAGGGATGCCTGACTTCCTGTCTTGAATTATCTGCTACGCTGCGTGGTGTGCACCCCATCCCCATCCTCCTTAATCTTGAGTCAGGGTCTTTGATACACCCACCGACTTGTGTGAGCGTGGGGTGGTGGAAGCTGTGGCTGGGTTGGGGTGACATGGGACAGAGAGAAGGAGACGGTCACAGGAGGTGAGCTGTGCATGAGTTCAAGAGGTCAGGAGGTCAGAAGATTGGAACAAGAGGTGACCATGGGACTGTCACTCCCACGGAGTTTGCAGAAATCTTGGGTAGGTCCCTGGCCTTCCCACAGGATGTGGGAAGGAGGCTTAGCCAACTTTAGTTGAATCCTGGAGGACCTGGTGGCCCCACTGACTTCTATGTTACACAATCTCCTCCGTTCACTCTTCTGGCCAAAAATGGACACAGGGAATAAAGAAACCTAGAAACCCAGGATCTTGATACATCAAGTTTGGTGTGGCTATAAATGCAAAATAGTAGGTGATAGGCACCAGACAGCTCTGTTCACAGTGGCCCAAGCATCCATCCCACTCCTACTATCTGCAGTCCTAACAACTGGGCCAGGCCCCAGGAACAGCAGGCGTGTGGGCTCTGGTTGCCTCGGTGAAGGATTCCTCACATAGGACCCACTACCCTATGGCTGTCTAACCAAGTCAGGCATTTCCCTCACTAGCTTTTACAAACAGTCTACTATTCACCACCTTGTGGCTGGTGGGGCTGACCTGGCCTTGGGAGTCTGGAAGCTAATCTAAAGGAAGGGACTTCTGGGCTGAGACTCAAAGGATGGGATGGTGTTAGCCAGGCAAAGAAAAGAGTTTGATGAGTAACAAGCATTCCAAAAGTCCCCACGGCTCGGCCTGTCTCTGCAATGGTTTGATCAGAGTTGTGGTGTCCCATAAAGGAGAATTGCCTGCAAAATGACTTGGATGTTAGGTCTGTTAACTCTTAGCTCTTTCTATGTATGTGGCTGCACACACAGGCAAACACACATCGCATCCTTTCCTCATCCTCCAGTGGATGGGAAGCTCTGATGTGTGTGTATGTGTGTGTGTGTGTGTGTATGTGTGTGATTTATGTCAGTCTTTTCTGTACAAAGAATGAGGATATGGTGGGGAGGATGAATAGAAGTTGCTCTTATAATTAGATGTGTGGGAGGTTTTGATTGCTTATAAGACAGCAGTCTGAAAAATGACACAGTACAGCAGAGGTTAAGAGTACAGATGCCCCTCCATTTACAACAGGGCTACAGCCCAACAAACCCATCCTAAACTGGATTTGTTGTAAAATATCCTAAGTTGAACATGTGTGGCTGATGGAGTGGGGCTCGCTGCCGCTGCCTAGCACCATGAGAGAAGTACGGTTTCTATGAAGGCGTCACACCATCCTGAAGTCGAATCATTTTAAGTCAGGGACGGTCTGTACACACTTTGAAGCAATTGTCTTCGATATCTGGCTCTGCCAAGTTCAAGCTACGCCAGCTTCCTGGCATCTCTGTGACTCACGTCTCTGTTTCCCATGGCAACCCATCTGACACCATCCATCTCATGGGCTGGTTGCGAGTGGGGACTGAGATCATGCAGGTGAAGCACTTGCAGAGTGCTCACTAAACATTAGTAAATGTTACTGTTTTCACACAGGGGAGGAGCAGATCAAGATGACTCCTTTAGCTTCCCCACTCATTGAGGAGCAAATGGCAGGAAGCATCTGCCTCTGGATCAAAGAGAACAATCCATTTCTAGAGGTTCTGTTTTACAAATTTGGTTCTCTTTACAAATGTGCTCACTCATCTTCAAAACTCTAAAGTAATAAAATATTTATTGAACATTAAAATATTAAAATAAATAATTAAAAACATTAAAATAATACTTGGCTGGGTACAGTGGCTCATGCCTGTAATCCTGGCACTTTTGGGAGGCCGACATGGGAGGATTGCTTGAGGCCAGAAGTTCAAGACCAACCTGGGCAACGTAGAGAGACTCCATCCCTACAAAAAATAAAAAGAATAGCCAGGCATGGTAGTGTGCTTCTGTAGTACCAACTACTTAGGAGGATGAGTTGGGAGGATCGCTTGAGGCCAGGAGTTTCAGATTACTTTGGTTGTATTAGTCAGTTCTCACATTTCTTTCAGTAACTACCTGAAACTGGGTAATTTATAAAGAAAGGAGGTTTAATTGGCTCACAGTCCCACAAGCTGTACAGGAAGCATGGCTGAGGAGGCCTTAGGGAACTTTCAATCATGGCAGAAGGCTAACAGGAAGCTGGCACGTCCTACAGGGTGGAAGCAGGAGGAAGAGAGTGAAGGAGGAGGCGCTACACACTTTTAAACAACCAGATCTCATGAGAACTCCTCGCTATCATGAGAACAGCAAGAAGGAAGTCCTCCCCCATCATCAAATCACCTCCCACCAGGCCCCTCCCACAACATTGCAGATTACAATTTACCAAGAGATTTGGGCAGGGACACAAATCCAAACCATATAACTGAGCAACAGAGCGAGATCCTGTCTCTACATAAAATAAAAAAAAATTTGCCATGCATGATGGTGGCCCATGCCCGTAGTCCAAGCTACACAAGAGGCTGAGGTGGGAGGATTGCTTGAGCCCAGGAGTTCGAGGCTGCAGTGAGCTATGATTGCGCCACTGCACTCTAGCACTGTAGCCTGGGTAACAGAGCAAGACCCGTCTATAAGAGAGAGAGACATACTCTTTTTTCTACTTCCTATCACTGTATGTAGTAACTATGTGTTGGGTGGGTTCTTGAGGATGAATCCAGAGTTGTCCAGGAAAATTCAAAATATCCCTGGGAAATTGCAGGCTAATAATGTCCCCAGGGCACCTTTGTAAGCATGTATCTGAGCAAGCATTGAGTTAAGAGATGGAGACTCGGGTCTGAATTCCGGTCTTTAAGGCCTCAGTTTTTATACCTCTCAAACAAGTATAATTTGCTTTGCTCTTGTGATTTGTAAGATTAAATTGTATCTATATAAACAAAAGTGCTTGTAAAAATATGATTCATTCCACAGGTGAAAATGATACCTGTGCCCATTTCTCATTTGGTATTGTTCTCTTAGGAAGCAGTCACTTCTTCAAGAATTTCTCAGGACACATGAAGAAAGAGTGACTGAAATAATTTCTTGATAATTGCCAAGCATTCGGGGGATGAATGTTTTGTTTATTTGTTTTTTTAGATATATTATCTCACTCTGTCACCTAGGTGGGGTCAGTGGTACAATCATAGCTCACTGCAGTCTTGAACTCCTGGGCTCAAGTGGGCTCAAGTGATCTTCCCACCTCAGCCTCCTGAGTACCTGGGACTACAGGCACATGCCACCAAGCCCAGCTAGTTTTTGTTTGTTTGGGCGTTTCTGTTTTTTTGTAGAGATGAGGTCTTACTATGTTGCCAGACTGTTCTCAACCTCCTGGCCTCTAGCGATCCTCCAGCTTCTATCTTCCAAAGTGCTGGGATTACAGGTGTGAGCCACCAGGCCTGGCCTGAAAGGTGGGTTTTAGATGTCATATACTACTGCTGTTGCCTACAGTGATTGACGTGATTAAGCTGCCACAATTCAAAAGCAAGACAGCTAGTCCTGGGCGAGTCATTAAGAGTTCTGGAGCAGAGGGAAAATGAAAGTCATTCCCTTTCACGGGTATAACTTTCTTTCCCAATGGCCCCCAAGACAACTCCCATTGGGGTGATTGAGGGGGGCACTTAAAGAAGGCATCACCAGGTCTAGTTTCTCCATAAAACGTCCCTGGTGTAAAGTTAGCTGTACGTCTCTCAAACTAGCCACTTTGAATGGCTCTGTCATTAGGAAAGAATTTAGTGGCCTTACATTAATATAAGCTAATGGTTTCTGGAGGATTTTTCAGCAGCAAATAATAAGTTTAAGCAGCCTCCTGAGAAGGTTGAATGACGTACCAGCTCTAAAGCACCTGAGAGCAGTATGTCTGCCCTCTCCAGGAGCAAAACGTTGGTTATTGAGCTTAATTTGCCTGAAAGCCACTAGCTCTGACATCGTATCTGTACTTGACCCTCCTATTTCTCCCATCACCATGGATGACTCTTTTGTTCTTTTTTTTTTTTTTTTTTTTGAGATGGAGTCTCTCTGTCACCAGGCTGGAGTGCAGTGGTGCGATCTCGGCCCACTGCAACCTCCACCTCCCAGGTTCAAGCAATTCTCCTACCTCTGCCTCCTGGGTAGCTGGGACTACAGGCATGTGCCACCACACCCAGCTAATTTTTGTATATTTAGTAGAGATGGGGTTTCACCACGTTGGCCAGGAAGCTCTTTTGTTCTTATCTCACGGTGTCTACTGCAGAAAATGCCTCTATGCATGTGTTTCTACATGTAAAGAAATTGACACACTGATTTTGCTGACAGCATGGTAGAGAAAAACAGTTGACATCAAGTCACAATGCAGTGCGTTGAAGTGTGTAGGAATGCTTGGGTGGACCTGAAAGACTGCCAGTTAACATTTTTTCTGACACTAAACTTTTCGGAGTTCTACACCAATGACATAAGAACAAACAATAATCTGATATATTACACATATATAACACACATAACGTAAAATTTACTGTTTTAAATTTTTTTTTGAGAGATGGGGTCTTGCTCTGTTGCCCAATCTGGAGTGCAGTAGCATGATCATAGCTCACGACAGCCTTGAATTGCTAGGGCTCAAGCCATCCTCCCATCTCAGCCTCCCAAAGTGTTGGAATTACAGGCATAAGCCACTGTGCCTGGTGGCCTGTTTTAACCATTTTTTAAGTTAACCATTTTAAGCTCTGAGGCATTAAGTACATTCACACTGTTGTGCAACCATCACCATCATTTACCTTTAGAACTTTCTCATCTTCCTCAACTGAAACTCTTTGTCCATTAAGCAGCTTTCATTTTTATTGGAAAACAGGCAGGTTGTTGAGGATGACTGTTCACCGTGGCACACGGACGCGCACAGACAATACTCTCAGAGGAATGCCATTCTGGGTTGTGTCTCCATGGGAAGGGGGTCATCAAAGCAGGCTCTTTGGGGGCTCACAGAATGATGGGGAGTTCAGATTAGTACCCCAGCCATGGGGAGGGCCTGCCGTAACAATGTGAAGGAGGGCAGCTGGATGCCCCCCAGCGGTGCTGCAACTTCATTTCCTGCATGCTGACCGGCTTGGCAGTCCCTCCTGGGAGTGTGGGAGTACAACCCAGCTCCTGCGTATGGTTCACATGCTGACCCTTCAAAAAAATACCATCTGAAAATTTGGCTATTGCCAAATTGCCCCAAAGAAATGATCTTTGAGCAAAGGGAAAAGTATTTGTCACTCCCAGCCTGGTGAGTTTTCTCCAAAGCAAACAGATGTGCCCTTCCAAAAATAACCATTCTGCCCATTGGGTCATAACTGTTTACATTCGGTCAGAGCCATAAAGAGCCAGGATTTAGGCCAGCAACACTGTGAAGAGGGCATCTCCTGGATGAAGGCTCTTGTTCTGCTCTCTGGAAAAGGTTTTCAGGAGAAAAGGCGGAGCCTCCCAGAGAGGAAGAAGGAAACAAGAGAGAGCAAGGGCAGGAGGGATTGGAGGAGCGTGGTGGGTGCAGTGCCTTGGGCTCGGTCAGTGCGCCCTGCTGCAGGCCTGGCCCTGGTACTTCTGAGGGCGACCCCCAGTTGCTGTGGGCCTGCTGGCATTGTTGGGGAGGAGGGCGGGTGGCAAGAGTGGGGTGTTTCTGGGGAGTTGATGGCATTTGGAAATTATTTTCTGAAACATAACTCTAATGTCTTGTGTTTTCATGATCTGAAATTGCCTTGGGAGCCTTTGAGGCTTACTGGAGTCCCAGGGGCGCTTAGCAGCCCTCCGTGGAAGTTGTGGTGAGCAGCCGGAATGTTGACCCAGGAGCAGAAGCCACCCGGGGCAGTCATAACCGCCCACAGGCCAGCAGCATTGTGAAATAGCCCTCCTGAGGGGGAACGCTCACATAGCCGGGAGGGAGTTTGGGGAAGAAAAGAAGGAGAAAGGACAAAGGCAATAGCGTGAAGGGAAAGCCTGCTGCATGCCAAGCACCTGGCTGGAACGTTCAGGTCTTCAGAGATCGTGTGACTTTAAGGAAAAGCTCCGAGAGCTTCAATAACTTGTTCAAGGACACGTAGGGTATGAGCGTGTGCAAGTGCGGGTCTCCACATGTCCCCAGTCACAGGGTGCTCCGAAGACGCTTCAGGCTTCCTGACTACTTCCAGCTAGAAGGAATGCTGACGATCAAAAATATTTCAGATAGTTTCAAGAAGAAACAGACATTCAGAAAACCACAGAAAACTTTTTTTTTGAAAGTCTTAGCAATAGTTTGCATTTATATAGTAATAAAATGATAGATTTTATGTGTAAATCCAAGAGAGTTTACATAGATATGCAGTATTTAAAAGACTGTCCTATGAAGCCAGGTGCTAATATTCCCATTTTACAGATGAAGACACTGAGATTCAAAGAGATGAAGTGACTTCCCTCTAGGTTCATAAATGAAGAAAGAGGAAGAACTAGTTCTAGAACCAGATCTTCCCATAGTTAAATTCTTTCTGTAACAATCCATTGCCTTTGAGTAGCTCAATGTAATGCATTTTAAATTTAGATTGATCAAAAGGTAACTGTCAGTGAAATTATAGTTTTGTTGGTCCGAAAGCCTTTTTAAAAAGATTTTTGTTAAAAACACATAAAACAATTATTACCTGATAAACTGAGATTTTGAAATGCCAAGCTCTTTCCAGACTAACGTCTGTGTGAGTCTTGGATCCTCTGAATGACTTTTGCAGCATTAAATATATAAAACATAACACTGAGTTAAACTATTGATCATACGGGAGGGGAAGGATGGTTAAGAAAATTTGGAAGAGTTAGGCAAGAGTGTAGAAAACTGTCAGTTTATTGGAAAAAAAAGACTAGGTTTTATGCTATCCAATAAATATTGTATTTCTTTTAGTCATTTTCTGTTGCCCAACCTGTGCAAAGTACCCTAAGAGGGAAGAGAAGTTGTCTGAATGGAGTGCACCTCAAGGTCTTGGGGGAATTTAGCAACAGGCTGTGCAAGACATCGACATATTGTAACTTTTGCTAAACTGAAGAACCTTAATTGCTGTTTCCCAACCAGGAAGGAAGAAAATGATTTTGACGTGTGAAATGCAGAGTCAAATAGATTTCCCAGAAGAATTTCAACTGTGGAATGAAGGGCCTGTGGGAGTTATGATGAAGCGTCAAGCCTGGAGGGGAGAGAAGAGGGGAGGAATGGTGTCAAAGAGTGATTGATAACAGAAGTGTCCAGATGTTTTTATTATTTACATTTTACTCCCAGTGCTGTATGTGTAAATACTAGCAAGGTTAGTAACAGGAGTTACAAAAGATGCTTAACCTCTATCAGGTTATGTGACTCATCCATGGCTACCCCGGCCTGGACTCCCCTCCGAGACTGGGGCCTGCATACCCTACTGCCCACTTCACATTTCCTCTGAGATACACAGAGCAGCTCAATTTCCACACTTCAAAACCACACTTGGGGTTTCCCATGGAAGCCAGTGGATGTCCAGCTCATTCTGTCTCTGAAGCCCAGGACCCAGTTCCAGAGGGTAAAAGTGAGCAACCTCCTCCCTTTTCCTACCAGTTCCCACCTCGTCTTCACTCACTCCTCACCCCTCCTCACCCCTCCTTACCCCTTCTCATCTCCTCCTCACCCCTCCTCATCTCCTCCTCACCCCTCCTCATCTCCTCCTCACCCCCTTCATCTCTTCCTTACCCCTCCCCACTTCTCAGCCCCCCTCATCTCCTCCACACCCCTCCTCATCTCCTCCACACCCCTCATCTCTTCCTCACTCTTCCTCATCACCTCCTCACCCCTCCTCATCCTTCATCTCCTCATCTCTTCCTCACCCCTCCTCATCCTTCATCTCCTCACCCCTCCTCATCTCCTCCTCACCCCTCCTCATCTCCTCCTCACCCATCTCCTCCTCACCCTCCTCATCTCCTCCTCATCCCTCCTCAACTCCTCCTCACCCCTCCTCATCTCCTCCCCACCCCTCCCCATCTCCTCCTCATCCCTTCTACACCCCTCCTCATCTTGTCTTTACCCCTCCTCACTGCTCCTCATCCTCTCCTCATCTCCTCCTCACCTCTGCTCACCCCTCCTCGTCTCTTCCTCACCCCTCTTCACCCCTCCTCATCCACACCTCACTCACTCCTCACCCTTCCTTACCCTCCCCCATCCTTCCTCCCCCCCACTCAACCCTCCTCACTCCCCCGTCACTGCACATTCTCAGCACCCTCCTTCCCCAGTCCAGGCCATCAGGGTCTTTGTCTTGGACCAGTGTGTAGCCTTTAGTCAGCTCTGCCAAACCCTCTGCTGCCCATTCCAAATGAGTTCTGACTCTGCAGCCAGATTAATCTTGATAAAAATGAAACTTGCAACACATCAATAGATTGTGCTAATTATTTCACAATGTATTCATATATCATAACATTACGTGGTGTACTGAAAGCATATACAATTTTCATTTGTCAGTTATACCTCAATAAAGTTGGGGAAAAGCACAAAAAGCCATCAATGGCTTCCTCCTGTCCTTAGGAGAATGCGCTGTTCATATGGTGTCTGAGACCCTGGCAGGGGTGGCCCCACCAGTGCCTCCAGCACCCCCTCACTCTGCTGCTCCCAGCCTCAGCAGACCCTCACCCTCACCATGCAGCCTTACCACCCACCCTCTGACACACCCCGTCTTACATGTTGGTCTCCCTGCCTGGGCAGACATGTCTTCCTGGCTTTGCTGAGTTAACTCCCACCTACCTCTCCTTGTCCTTCAGACCGCAGCTGGGTCCTGACGTCCCTGTTGGGCGGCGCCCCCTGTTGGAAGAGCCTGGAACTCCCGTTGCCTCTGTTTGGAAAACCTTTCAGAATCCTAATTTAACTCCCGTTCATGACTATTGAATGATGGCTTCTGCCTCTCTGGACTGGAAGCCCCACACAGGCAGAGACCGTTTCTGGCTTTGCCGTCTATATTTTTGAATTGAAAGAATCAGTAATAAGTGAAATCCTAACTGGGCAGGAAATTACTGATAGCGTTTTTGTGGCTGCCATTCCTATGGAAAGCCTGACCATTCAGTCCCGGAGCATAACTAAGTTATGTTAATTTAGACAAGATAAGAAATAGAGAAGTGGTCATGGTAAGAACAGCCATGGAAGTGCAAACCTACAAGATTATGGTAAAAAACTCACTCTGGCAAAATGAATCTGTAATATCATTAATAACATTAGATTCTGTGTGAATTAAGTTTGAAAACACTTAGCCAGACCTCTTAGTTTCCTCTTTCTCCTCATTTTAACGAGAAGGCAAAGACAGGGCTGCTTTCTGCATATGATAACTTCCTAATTTTCTAGTGATTTACCCTCCTTTCTTACTTTTTCTGTTATCCTGGAGTTTTGGCTATCTCTGTACAATTAGACATGACTTTGGAGCTCTCAGAGGAAGAATCCTCACATATTCGGAGAATGTGGGGTTTGAGAAGAACTTTGAACGGTGTCCAGCTTTGAAAGATCTTGGAAAACTTCACAGCCATCTCAGCTTGCTTGTCATGATTTCTGTGGATTTTCACTTAAGTCTTTCAATGTACACATCTGAAATTTTGTGAATAAATTTGGTGTTAACCAATTGATCAGCAACTCGATGGTTTTATCAACTTGCTAAAGTTGAAAGTTAATCTCTATCCAGGGAGGTTTACTAAGTGGAAGTGTGAGTTTGGGGTGAGGCTCCCTGTTCTGTGAGTGTTTGCCTGTGCGTCCTGCTCTGTATCTGCATTAACGTTCTGAAGTTACATGAAATTTACAAAGGCAACGGAAACAAGAAGTGATTACATATCCATGGGAACTTGGGGATACTGTAAATCAGCCCCCCTGGCTCTGAGGACTGACCTGACATTTTGGCTTTTAGATTTTGGGAACATAATTCAGTCTCAGTGCTGGGTTCATCTATGCGGCTTCTTCCCAGAAGAGCCTGAAAAACGTCCTGAGAGTTTTCAGATTACAGCTTATTAAAATTCTTAAATCATCTCAAGAAGGGAAATAGAACCTGAGTAAAACAAGTAAGCCTGGTGTTTTATACTAAACAATTGTGATGAATTGGGCTTCCATGAAGAAACATTTCAGGCTTTGGTTGAATTTAAGTCACATACTTATGGCCGTATAATAATAAGTATATTATGCTCAAGATACATGTCTGTGCATGCCCCATGTAACACAATATTAAGAAACTTGAGGCCAGCTTTCAACAGCTGAAGCAGAAGTTTCAACAATTTTCCTATGAATTAGCATCATTCTGAATTAGCAGCTTGGTTAGACAGCCAATTTGGACAATTCAGACCCCAAAGTGGTGTCTTAGGTCTGATTTATTTGTTTTGGCTGTCTAGGTAACTCCCAGTCGCTAGACAATCATTCATGGGGAAAATGGGGAAAATGGGAAATGCCCTTCTTGTGTGGATGTCTCCTTTCTGGGCCAGTATTTAAATATGAGTTGGTAAGACTTTGCCTTTCCTGTGATTGAAGGAATGACTTCACAAGGTCTTACATTTTTACTTTTCATTCTTGAAGCCCAGACAGCAATGGAACTTCAAGAGCCCTGGAAAGCCCCTGATGGCAATTGCGGGATGACATGTTTTAATTGACAAAAGAGCCCCTTGGCTAAATTCTCAGCTTTGTAGAACTTGTCAGAAGTGTTCAGTTTCAAGCCAAAAAGCTGCCAGAATGAGGGCCAATCATTAATGACAGAAAGATTAGGAGAGCAGACATCAGCTGGCTGTTCACCAGCACATAATGAGACAAAATGCGAGAGTCAACTAAGGGCAGTTGACCCACAGCCAGTACTTCATAGGAGGGTACCTCAATGCCAAGTGCCTACCACCTCACCCTGGCATTTCTAACACACATAGCAACGATTTGTCTGTGCCTCATGATACAAAAAATATGATGCTCTGAGTGTATCCCTAACTCATTTCTTTTTCTTTGTTGCACATTTACACTGTTTCAGGCATAGGGGAAGATGGAAGAGTGAAAAAAAGCAAGTGAATACACTACCCAACTTATTTACTGAACAAACGCTAGAGAGTGGATCCTGCATATTCCAGTGGTCAACACCCACACACAGTGGACCCCATATAATCCATTGTGGATTATTTTTCCAGGCTGTAAATTATCTCTAAGAAAAGTTTTTTCATTTCTGAGTTATACATGAGGTTGATGGATGACTTAACAAAAATACAGTGTGGAGACATCTGTGAATGCATCTGAAGATAATTCTGCCCTTGCCTCGGTCATTGTGGTTTTTGACTTGTTCTTGGCGATTGAAGATGGGTGCTTTTAGCTTTACAATGGCTACAGGTGGAGTGGGGAACTTTTTTTTTTTCCCATTTGCTTCCTGGCAGCACCCCTTTCATGGTACCAAGTCAGAAGAGCAAGGTGCATAGAGGAACTGAACTCCAGTTGATCAGTCTTGAGATTTACTGTTTGTTGTGATTTCCTAGAAAAGGAGTTGGAATTTGGCTAAGAAACTTTCTGAATATTTATATTTTCCCCTTGACTGTGGAATCCCCATTAATGTAAACAATGACGGGAGAAATAATTACTACATGAGTATTTGCACCTTCTCCCCACTCCCACTCAGAGAAGGGCATCTGTCTTAACTTGCTTCACTTCTGAGTCTTTATTGGACAGAGATTATGTGAGGAGATAGTGGTGAAGACAGAGAATCCAGGAAGAGTTGATCGATTTCCAGAAAGTTACAGGTGAAAAGAAAGGGATGGATGGACAGGGAGAAGGGTGAGCATCAGCTCAGACTGACTCAAAGGAGTATTTTGGGGAGAAGGAAGAGGGAAGATTTAGGGGAAGTTGACATGCAATTCGGACATTCAAAGAAAGAGAATGATGGGGAAGAACATTTTCCTTAGTCCTTTGTGAGTTTTTATTTGTTTATTTGATTTTACTAATTTATTTTTGCAGAGATGTCATCTCGCTATGTTGCCCAGGCTGATCTCAAACTCCTGGCCCCAAGCGATCCTCTCTCTTTGGCCTCCCACATTTTATTCATTTTTAATTAATAGAATCCCCTTCTGCATTTCTAAGGGACTCCAATAAAACCTATTTTAATTGTTTTTCCAATTAACATGTGGATGACAGTGTTTCTTCGTATTTACACCTTGCTAAGAATGAGTGGCAAAGTGTCTGGGTTTATGCGGTGACCTATGTAATGGAAGCCATGCCCAAAGGATGCTGAACATTAGTGTGAAGAGGGGCGGCTGTGTCAGAGGCCCACGTATCCAGAGGCTTGTGTGGTGCTTGTGATGCTTGGGTTTGATGTGCAGGTCGTAGATATCCAAGTATCCCAGCTCTGTGCCCACTAAATCACCACGGTCAAGTTTCCAGGGAGAGCTGGAATGAATGATTAAACTGCACACACAAATACATACTAGCACGTCCACTTGTACGCGTTTCCAGTAGGTACATTCCTTGAAATAAAATGGTTTGTTTTAAACCTCGTGTGTAACTAAGGCGGGGCAAAAACTTTGAAGCCCAAAAAATACCATTTTCTATTTTCTAAAAAGCTGCTATTTTCAAAAACAAAACGGGGCAGAATAATCATCTCAAAGTGAAACCGTCAGTGCTTGGTAATTTTCCATCTGTGTCATAGCAATTTTCACTAGCAATTTT
This sequence comes from Homo sapiens, assembly GCF_000001405.40. NCBI lineage: Eukaryota > Metazoa > Chordata > Mammalia > Primates > Hominidae > Homo > Homo sapiens. Next base: position 2,509,684 of record NC_000006.12, read on the forward strand.
TTAAAATCCTGTCCTAAGCAGAAAACAGGTTTGGCCATGAAAGTTAACTCCCTCCCTGCTCGTGATCGAATGTGACTTCCAGATTTATAAGCTCACGGGCCACTCACATAGTGTTAGTTGTTGAGGCGGGGCGAGGTTTGGCTTTGAAAGATGTTTACAATATTTTTTAGGTTCTGTAATAAGCAAGTGTCCAGTGAAATTCACCATGTGGACCCCAGGACGCCACCGCGTGATGCTTCTCCACCTGCGCTCTGTCGTTCGCCGCCTGAGTTACCAGCCGAGCGTTGCCGCCTAGCTTGATGACAGAGGCTTAAACAATATCAGAATGACGTGGTAATGCTGAATCATAAGATGCTGAAAGACCTTTATCTGAAGTGTCCTACAGACCAATGTTAAGTGAAATCATCCTTTCTAAAAGTTTAGCAGATTACAGGTTTTCATATGCCATGGGCAGGAAGCCAGCAGTTTCTGGGAACATGAGAAAGGTAGGGATTTGTATCTCCTCTATGTTTTCATGGAGTATGAATTCATTCTGCTCAAATTATTTTATTGAAACCTCATCTAAGAACCTGGGGCTAGAGAGTCGCGGCGATGCCTGCAGAGTCACTTGGCCGTCCTCGTTTCCTGCATCTTCGTGACTCCCGGCCATCAGTGCAGATGGGGCTCCCCGCCACTGTCCCCAAGATATCCCGGGGCTCAGCATTTCATGTAGTTATTTCCGGACCCCAGGCATTCGGAGGCCCATATGGCTTTGGCTACCAGGCAGAGCCGTCGACTGGGAATGCAGGGAGGTGGTTAGAAGCTGGGATGAAGAACGACCTGCGTTCCTCGTGTATACTCACACGCACAGTTAATGTAACCCTAGGGCTAGCACTTTGGCAACAATTTCCCTTGTTCTCTCTACAGCCCCTCCCAGCCTGCTGTATCATGCTCTCTGCAACAGCTTCTCTTCATTTCAAGCCTACTCTGTGTGTTTATTTTAATCAGATTCAGCACAAAACTGTTAAAGAGGGGTCGGGAGCTGTGGCTCACACCTGTAATCCCAGCACTTTGGGAGGCCGAGGCGGGTGGATCACAAGGTCAGGAGATCCAGACCATCCTGGCTAACATGGTGAAACCCCATCTCTACTAAAAAATACAAAAAATTAGCCGGGCGTGTTGGCACGCGCCTATAGTCCCAGCTACTTGGGAGGCTGAGGCAGGAGAATGGCCTGAACCCGGGAGGTGGAGCTTGCAGTGAGCCGAGATCGCGCCACTGCACTCCAGCCTGGGCGACAGAGCAAGACTCTGTCTCAAAAATAAAAAAAAATGTTAAAGAGGGTAGAGGAGGAAAAGGAAGACACACTGGTTTGCTTCTAACACCCCCCGTCCCCGCAAACACACAGACACACACTCGGGCTTCATGATCCCCTGTTTGTTTAGTTCTGTGGCGTTCCTCCTTTCCTCCTTCCTGTTCAAATCTTTCAGCCCAATAAATTGCACAAATTAATGTGAATTAACATAAAACTTTTTCGAGAGCTGATGCAAGAACCCTGAATATCAGTTAGGCATGCATTTCGCTAAATGTAACCGAAAACCCAAGGATGTTTAAATAATAAGAGATGTATTTGTGTCAGGTAACAAGACATCTCAGTGTAACTGGAACACGGTTGATATCCAGGCTCCATCTGGCTTCCTGCTCTGCCACCCTTGGATTGTGGGTTTTTATCCTCATTGTTGCAAAGTGACTGCCTTACTTCCAGGCACTGTGTCTGTATTCCAGGCAGGCATAAGGAGGCAAAGGAAGGCAAAGGGAGAAGAGGCGGAAAAAGGGCAGAAGGGGAAGCCTGCTGATTCTCTCCTCTTTAAAAAGCTTTCTGGGATGCTCAGCTGTAATAAATCTACTCACTTATCATCGCTCAGAACTGGCTCTCATATCTGCCCTTTGCTACACACAAATTCTCCAGCTTCTGTATTGGAAGAAGGGGTGACGCATGGCTTTTGCATAGTTTTGTGAGGACTCTGAGCACTGTATAACAAAATCCAGAGGAAACACATATCTTGACTCCATGAAAGTGGCCTTGAGGCAGGTTTAAATGAAGAGTCAGGATCCGCTACGCGTGGGGTGGCCCCATGTCCAGTTTGTCTGAGATGCTCCCAGCCGAAGCCTGGGTTCCCGGCCTAATTGCTAATAAGTACCGCCTGCCTTTTACTTTCCCGCAACGTGTTATTATGAGAAATTTCATGTTATCATGAAAAAAGTTGAGACGATTTTATGGGAATAGCTGTATATTATCTACTAGATTCTACCATTAACTATTTACTACTCAGATCACTCCCTTCATCAGACCGCCTTATATTCTTTGGGTGCATTGTGGAGTAAATTACAGACATCACTATACTTATCCTTAATTACGTCATTAATCAGAGTTCTATATTCATTTACAGTTTTTTCTTTTGAAGGAAAATTAACATAAAATGAAATGTATGCCCTAAGTGTATATTGGCAGAATGTTGACAAATGGGTAACAAATCCTTACCAAGGCATGAAGCATCACCGCCACCCTAGAATGTTCCCTTATGGCCTCTTCTGACTGGAGAGGCCTCCTCCTCTGTCTCCCTCCACCCAGATGATCCAATGTTCTGATTTTTTTTTTCAATATATATTATTTTGCCTGTTTTAGAACATCTGTTAAATGAAGTCACACCGTAGGCACCCTTTTGGGTAAGGCTTATTTTACTCTGCATAATATATATTTTTTAATTTCTGTGGGTACATAGTAGGTGCATATATCTGTGGGATACATGTTGTGATGCAGGCATGCAACGCATAGTAATCATATCATGGAGAATGGTGTATCCATCCCCTCCAGTATTTATCCTTTGTGTTATCTGCATAATATTTTTGAAAATCATCATCCATGTTGTTGTGTATTTCATTGCAGAAACTTTTTTTTTCATTCTTTCTGTAAGAACCAAACAAACTCCAGTTTCTAGTTAAGTCAAAATTGGTTATTTTCAAAGGTGGTTTTTAAACACTCTCTGTAGGGAGCAAAGATCTTTAAAATTATCAGAGAAATGCGGCTCCCTGCTATGGCAAAGAACATAAACTCCTGGAAGTAAAGAAATGTTTGGGTCTTTATTTTACAGAAAGGAATGTGAAGTTGGAACTTCTAAATGGCCGATTTTAAATTTAATGTCTCTCTAAGAGATATAAATTAGCAGCAGCAAAATATTATGGCCCTTTAGATGCTTCGGTCCATGAATTGTAAATTAAAGTTGGTTTAGCCATTTGGTGGGGCTTAACCATACTAGAAAGAGCCATTAAATATTTTATGGTATGTAAATGTACTTGCAACCATGAGCAGCGTTCCTGCCCCCTGACACATTTTTGTTAGAGTGAGAAAGGGAACAACGGAGAATGCACATAAAAATATTCCCAGTTAACAGAAGTTGAAATGAATTAGAGACATAAAGAACACACATGTTTGCACTTAGACGTGGTATATGGCTAATTTTTTCATGAAGAGTGCCTTATTACTTTTGCTCTAAGCGGTATTCAAAACGCTCGACATTTGACAAGGGGAATTTCCCTTCCCTTCTCTCCTTTCCCTACAGTATATATTAAACTAATTGCTTTATTTTAACAAGGGGGACCCTGTTTCCCTAACCATCCTCTGGACCCCCAGCCTGACCTTCACCTCCACGGATCTTTGCTGGGAGATAATTGCACCACCAATGTGATTTAGTACACTTTGGCTCTGTGCATCCAGTCTTCTCTGTCTTAGCAACATTTTTAACTCTCAAAGGGTCAGGTTCCCATCCTCTATAATTCTTGGACAGTCACATAAAACTTAAATTTGGCCCAGAGTTTCCTTATCATTTATAATTTCCATAATACTCTCAGAGTCACAAAACCATCTAGTGTTTCAGGGATGAACGATTTGTTGATTTTCTTGAATAAAAATTCTCTGAAGAGTAAGGTAAGGAACGCCAATAGGCTTAAAACTGTCACGGGAAATTGTAAATAAAACTCATGCCATAAGCCACAGTGCCTTCTTTCAGGCCTACCTTTAGGAACACACATCGCTTCAACTGCTCCTCAGAAATTTCTCATGGTTGAAGTAAACACACAAGACAGCTTGGCAATGGGGTGAGCGATTGGCCCTCCCGTCATGGATGGAGGGAGAGATGGAGACCGCACAGGCCTCAGTATCCCCATCCTTCGGGATTCAGGTTCCCCTTCCCTGAGGAGTTCTCCCTGACAGAGCCGCTCCGAATTCCTCCGGCAGCACGCAGGTCCACACAGTCAGTGTAACCCGTGTGCTTCCTTCCCACTTCCCTTTTGCTCCTGGGGTTTTTGGTGGTTTGCTCTGTCTCTCCAATTCTTCGTAGTCCTTGAACACAGAAACCACATACTATTCTTTATGTTTTCGTATCACATTGTGTTTATACTTATTTCAATGTGTCTTGTAGACTTACCCTGTTTTTGTTTGTTTGTTTTTAGATGGAGTCTCGCTCTGTCACCCAGGCTGGAATGCAGTGATGGGATCTCGGCTCACTGCAACCTCCGCCTCCCGGGTTCAAGTGATTCCCCTGCCTCAGCCTCCTGAGTAGCTGGGACTACAGGCGCACACCACCATGCCCAGCTATTTTTTTTCTATATTTTTAGTAGAGACGGGGTTGTGCCATGTTGGCCAGGCTGGTTTAGAACTCCTGACCTCAGGTGATCCACCTGCCTCGGCCCCCAAAAGTGCTGGGATTACAGTTGTGAGTCATTGTGCCCGGCTTTTCCTTGTTATTTGAGTCTCTGGGTTTTGTAAAATGCAGACAGTTGTGGGCAATTAGATCAAATGATCATTAAGGTATCTCCAGCTCCCGAATTCACTCTGTAATTTTACTATTATTTAAGGGAAATTTCAGCATATAATTGCAATCTAACAACAGCCCTCACTCGTTTCAGTGGGCAAATATCAACGTTCATTCTCGTCCCCCAGTGGACTGCCCTCGGATCGTTCATTCATCGGGAAACTCTACTCCCAGATTTGCAAACCTGAGGGTTAGGCTTGTCTCTGAATTTAACATGGAATAAGACCATAGATTGCCTGGGCCCAGATTTCTGTTCTGCCACCTCCTTTCTCATTGAGCATGTTACTTACTCTCACTGTACTTCAGTTTCTGCGTTTGCAAAATGAGAATCATAATAATCCTACCTCACAGGATTCGTATGAAAAGTAAATGAATTAATATTTACAAAGTTCTTAGCATGTGGTGGATACGACATAAGAGTTTGTTAAAAAATAACTCAGGGCTTCTACTAGCAGGCGAGGAAGCCACTTGTATTTCTCACACTTAGGTGTGCAGGGGCCATGAGTAAAGCACAGAAGGCAAGGCACGCTGCGGGAGAATTCAGAGGGCGTCCGTGTGGGAGCTGTCTAAACGGTGTGACTTTTGGATCTTCTGCCTTTCGAAATTCTTTCCCCTTGGCTCACTGAGGCCTGAAATTCCACAGTCACACCCTCCCATGCCTTTGATGTCTGCCAGACAAGGACTTTGTCCTCCACGAGAATACCCTGCAACAGGGAGAGCACACGCGAAGCTTCTCTGGACATTTTTGTTTCCTCAGTACGTTTATCAGATTCTTCCTGAGAGGAGAGATTCCATTGGGTGGATTTGGAAAATGAAAACAAAGCAAGAGAATGTTGGGTGCCTGCCTAGTATGTGGAAGATAAGAAGGAAAAAGAAAGATGGGGACCTTGCCAGGGGTGGCCACACCCTGGGAACAGGTGTAATGGAGAGCTGGCCTTTCTTGCACAGCGTTGGCGTCAGGCAGGGCAGTCCGAGCCCCACCTCAGCCACTATGAGGTGGGCGTTCTGCAAGTCTGATCCTCAGGTTCCCACCCGCAAAGACGCAGGTGGTCACCTGGCCCCATAAGGTTGTAGCAGGAATTGTCTTCAGTTATTTGAAATGCTTGGTGGTGTCTCCACCAAGCAAGCTCTCAGTAAGTAAATATGTATAACCTTACTCCGTTCAGGCTTTTAGATAATCTGTTAAAAAATAACTTGAATATTGTTATATTCAAGTTTGCCCTTTGACTCTCAGAAGGCAAATGGCATTTAGAAAATCAAGGAAGCTTTCAAACAGTTACGTATTTCAGAACCCAGAGTTCTCAGTGGAGTTTCTTAAACGAAAACAAACAAACAATGCTAAATCAGTCACCGCAGATATTTCCAAAGAAAATTGTTTATAGCTCGCAAGTTTGCTTTAAGTAGTTGCCTGGCTAACAGAATATCTAAACTCATACTAGTTAGCAACATAGACAATTATGATTCTCTGGTTGTCAGATGCTAGAGGACCCTATTAAGAAACTGGAAATAATGATGAATTTTTCTATCCGTGGCATTAGCCATTCAGATATGGTGAGTGAAAAACAAATTAAGGAATGTATAAATATGAGGCTTTCAAAACAAGTGGCATAATATTTCATTTATTCACTTTCTACCTAGCTTTTACTTCTTAAAGGAGAATCTTGCTCTCTGGGATAGGCATAAACAAAGAACTTTTGAAATTTACTCTTTTGTAACGCATTGCGCTGAGTCAGTGATTTTATTCATAGCGTTATCTCCAGGCAGCCTCAGGTAAGGAACTCTAAGGACTCTGCTTCTGAAAACCAGACCCCACCCTGACCCCGCTGCTTCCCAGCTAAAGCATCTGGGATAAGTTACTTTGCCTCTCTAGGTCTCGGTTAGGTCTTGGTTGTCTTGTCTGTAAAGGGGGAATAAAATGATCCTCCCCACAGCGTTATTGTGAGGCTATATAAGATGTAAGCATTTTAAATCTGTGAAATGCTATAGAGTAGTTATCACTGCCGCTAATTGGTTGTCTCCTTTTAGGCAAGGACCAAGTCCGAGCCAGGCTCCTTTATAGTCCCATGGCTAAATGCCATGGTCCCGAAGAGTACAGCACACATGGATCATGAGGATGAGAGTGAAACAGAAATGAACCTGAAGCTCTGTGCAAAGATGCCTTCAACTCTTTGCTATTCTGGGATTCAGAAAGAGGGGGTGGCACGCCGGGGCAGGAGGTGTATGGGGAGGGAGGGGCATAGCTCTTTGAGGCTGGCCAGTGGCGACACCAGAGACTCAGCTCCCTCCCAGGTAACTGAATAGCAGAAGACCAGATTGCGTGGGGCTCAAGTAGAAGACAGGATTTCCAAACACCTCAGGATCTCTTCTGATCAACCCTGCACGAGATGCAGGGGGTGCCCTCACACCCCCTCCAGGTTACTGTGAATCCTGTCTGTACTGCAAATCTTCGCCTTCCTTTAGTTCTTTGGGAATCCTTCCGGCATCCTCAGCTAGCATCTCTTGCCATGAGCATGGTGAGCCAGCAAGCATGGCTAACACATGGCAGGAAGGAGAAGGAGGAGAGGCACTGTCAACTAGCACCATAACCCCTAGGACAACTAGTTCATTTCAGATAAGCCAGTGGCATATCATTCTTGCTAATGTCAACCCATTTTATTATTGGAATTTGGGGAGACGAGATGAATTTCCTGCACTGGCTGGACACAGGAGGCTGTGTGCTCTGCTGTGCTGTTTTCCAAGATTGCCCCCTTACCACTTGCTCTTCGGGGCCTGCTGTTTGCTGAGGCTTGTTGTTCTCAACTGTCTTTCATCACATATTGTAGCTTCTTGTCTCAGTCCTGCAGTGAGTTGGAGATGGTTTTGCTGAAGATCTTGGAGTTATCCCTCCAGCTGTGGGCCATGATTTCCAACCCAATTCCTTTTGTTATTTTTCATCTTTGAATAACCTCCAACCACAAATCCCCATTTCTATCTGTGGCCAGTTAGCGTAGTTGATGGCAACCCAGTGGCAACAAATGTATAGGTTGGCATGGCTTCAATTTCTGAGCAAGTCAGTTATGCCATGTTTGGGCAGAGTGTCTCTAAAATGTCCAGCCATCGAATCATCCAGCAATCCAGCAAGTGCTGGTGTTGGCCACAGGGGTAAAGGATGAATATTTGGTGGGATCTGTATAAATCCACCACCAGCACTGGAAAAGTGCTTTCTGGAGGAAGTCCTGCTGATGTGTACGTTTATTGACATTTTATGGTCAGTGCAGCAGGCCAGTGCTCATAAGGGGCTAGCCTCCCTTCCTGGCCCCTCACTCTGCCCCCGCCTCCTGCAGGAAGAGGTCATCTTTTCCCGCATTTGCTCTTGACTCTGTCCCTGCAAACTCGACTCATCCTATTTACAGTTAATTGTTTATAGATTTGTTTTCTTCTACTAGATTAGAGGCAACATTTTTCTGTAAAGGGCCAGATACTACTTTAGGCTTCGTGGGCCACACGGTGTCTGTATCAACTACCCACCTCTGCAGTCGTAGCACAAACTCCCAAAGGTCAATATGTAAACAAATGGGTGTGGTCGTGTTCCAACAAAAGTTTATTTATGGACACTAACATTTACATTTTATATAATTTTTACATGCCATGATCTAGAAGCAAATAATCCAACCTTATATTTGCCTAATTCTTTACAGTTGAATAAATACTTTCATCAACGTCATTTTATTTTCATTCCTATGCCTGATAACCACAGGGAATACAAAGATCCTATTTTATGGATGATGGAATTTATGGATGGAATTTATGGAATTTATGGATGATGGAATTTATCCTAAGAGAGCATTTTGGCTTTTCTAAACCTATCATTCCAACACTGATTTTCAATGGTGTCCAAACAATCCCCCCACAGAAAATGCCTGGCTAGTCTTTTTTTTTTTCTTTTAAAATTTTTATTTACTTTTGGAGATGTTGTGGGTAGTTTTGGTGAGCTAATAATGAATCCGTTCTCTATAACACACTTCAGCTTCTCAGTGACTGTACTTCACACCTGCCAAGACAGTAAAGTCTATCAATCCTTGTGAACATAAAGTAGGAGTGAACTCTGGAAATGCCATCAGTGGTTTAATCTCGGAAGAAAGGACATGCCCTCCATGGGGGACAGTTGAGCCTCAGGGGCAGGCGGCAACTGTGTTGGCTATTGTTTATTGGCCACTCAGCCCGGATCTGTTCTCTACCCTTCTCAGCATGTTCTGTGTCCTGGGAGGTTGGTGTCCAGTTGGGTTTGATCAATGGGCAACATCAGTGGAATACCAGAGGATGAGAGGGAACAGAGACTGAATGCTTCACCTGCCTGCCTGGGGTCTGCAGTGGCTGTGTCTTCCATGGGGGGCACTCCCCTCCCTGCCCTAGGTCTACCATACCCCTGTTCTTCATCTGGAATACTCTTTTGCCTTTCCTGGGTCTGCATGACTCTAACCTCCATGGAAGCACTGCCCTTCCTTTCCTGGGTCTGCGACGGTTGTGCTGTTTGTTTTCATACTAACTTTAGAAATCAACTTATCTAGTAAAAACTATCTTGTTGGTTTTTTATTGGGATTATGGTAAATTTATAGATTAATTTAGGGAAATACCTTTTTTGTGTTTGTCCAAGTCTTTATTTCTGTCCTTCAGTAGCATTTAGGAATTGCATGTTTTTATTCATTATATGCTTTTTTTTTTATTACTTTCACAAATGGGGTCTTTTCTTTCATTTTTTTTTTTTAAGAGACAGTATCTCACTATGTTGCCCTGGTTGGAGTACAGAGGCTATTCACAGACAAAATCAAGATGCACTGCAGCCTCAAACTCCTGGCCTCAAGCAATCCTCCCACCTCAGCCTCCTGAGTAGCTGGGACTACAGGCATGTGTAAATTTGCCCAGCTCTTTCATCATATTTAAAAAATTCCACCAGTGGTATAATGTCTGTTTATCATAGAAGTTTTCTACTCAAAAATGTTGTTGTATTCTATTATTGGTTACAATGATTTTAGATTGAGTCTATTCGGTAAAATTATAATAATTTTACCTTCTGTTTTCCAATTTTGTGTTTTTATTTCTTTCTCTTATCTAATTGAAATTTTAGTACCTGCAGAACAATTTTAAATCATAGTGATGATAAAGGACATCTTTTATTTGTTTCTGAATTTAAAGAGAATCTTCTTACCAAATAAACTTTTTCTAAATTATTAAGTATTTTAAAAATCAAGAATAGATTTTGGATGTTGAGTTTTACCAATACTTTTCATTATCTATGAAGATTGTATCATATTTTTTCCTTTAACATTTCAGTAGGTACATTATATCAACAGATTTCCTAATATTGAACCATCCTTGAATTCTTGGGATAAAGCACTTGGTGTGGCATATTACTCTTTCAGTATTTTTCTGGATTCTATTTACTTATTGAGGTAAAAGTTGGTCTGTCCAAGACTGAGCTCCTGAAATGTGGCTGCCAGAAAGAGAGCTGGTCTTTCAAGCTACGTGGAAACTGGCTACAGTGCAGTGTTTAAGCATCATTTCTGGTCAATTGCAAAGCCTGGATCCCAGCTCCTGAATGTGCCAGGGTAGGAGCTGGTATTTCCCTAAACATGAATGCTGAGATGATAAATCCTGCCATTACATTGCTTCTTTATTAACTATAGCTGCAAAGTTTGAACCCCAAGGTTTGCAAGGAATCAATCCCTCTCTCACCAGAGGCAGAGAGTACAATGCTTCTCTGCAGACTCCATGAGCCATGGGCTGGTATGCTACAGCAGAAACCAAGGTCCTATAGCATCATGTTGGTATTGCATTTTATTGCATTTTAGCACTGATTACACCAGGCAAGGGCCAATCCCTCTCTAGTAATGCAGTACAAAAGCCCCTCAACCCGAGAGTCAGGATCCTTCTCCCCTAGTCTCATAGACGGCTCTACCAGGTTGCCTGTTGTGCTTCAGACAGCATGGATAACAAGGCACTACACATTTGCCCAAGGATGTTGAGTGTTCCCTGTTCATGCTGCTCCTCTTGGTCTGCTCTTATCTGCACTATTTTGTGTGTGTTTTCTCCATGGGTCTTCACAAATGAAATTGGCCTGTATTTTTCTTTTATGCAATAATTTGTGGGAGGTTTTGTTATCAATGTTATGCTACTTGCATAGAAAGAATATGAATGCTCTGAAACAAATTAAATAGCACTAGAGTGACCTAATCCTTAAGGCTTGATAGGAATCTGTGGAAAATGTCCAGATTTGATGCATTTTGGGGAGCAGATCTTCATTAATTTTAATTCTTCTGTGTTAATTGGTCTGAGTAGATTTTTCTGCTTAGGGATCAATTTTGATAATTAATATGCATTTATTTGTATAACATTTTGACATTAGTCTCTTATAATTTTAAGTTTGTACTCTATTTGCATTATTCTTTCTAAATTTTTGTGTTTGTATTTCTCTCCTTATTCATGCTAATGTTTTTTGATATGAGTTTTACTGAAAGCAACAGCTGAGTTTATTTATGGGTACTACTGATTTTCTTTTTAAAAATTGTTTCATTTCTGTTTTTATCCATAGAAATTACTTCTTTCTGGCCGGGCATGGTGGCTCATGCCTATAATCTCAGCACTTTGGGGGGCTGAGGCGGGTGGATCACCTGAGGTCAGGAGTTCGAGACCAGCCTGACCAACATGGAGAAACCCCGTCTCTACTAAAAATACAAAATTAGCTGGGCCTGGTGGCACATGCCTGTAATCCCAGCTACTACGGAGGCTGAGACAGGAGAATCACTTGAACCCGGGAGGCAGAGGTTGTGGTGAGCCAAGATCGCACCATTGCACTCCAACCTGGGCAACAAGAGCAAAACTCCGTCTCAAAGAAAAAAAAGAAATTACTTCTTTCTGTTTTCCTTACATTCATTCTGTTATTTTTCCTCAAGCTCCTAAAATGCAGGCTTAATGTACTTGCCTTCCATATTTTATTTTTAACAATATGAACATCTAAAGCTACTGTTTTTCTCTGAACGCTGCTTTACTGGCACCCCATAGGCTTATATATATATTGTTCTAATTATCATTATTTTCTAAATATTCTGCAATTTTGATGTTGATTTTGATTTTTCATTGACAGAAGAATTAAAAAAGAGTTTTCAAAATATTTTAGTGGTGGTTTTACTTTATTTATTTATTTTTTGGGATGGAGTCTCGCTCTGTCACCCAGGCTGGAGTGCAGTGGCATGATCTCGGCTCACTCCAGCCTCTGCCTCCCAGGTTCAAGTGATTCTTCTGCCTCAGCCTCCCAAGTAGCTGGAATTGCAGGCATGTGCCACCACGTCTGGCTAATTTTTGTATTTTTAGTAAAGACACGGTTTCACCATGTTGGTCAGGCTGGTCTTGAACTCCTGACCTCAGGCGATCCACCCACCTCGGCCTCCCAAAGTACTGGGATTACAGGTGTGAGCTGCTGCACCCGGCCCTGTTTATTTGTTCTCTAGTTTCTAATTTTATTATTGACTTCTTATTTTATTGAATTATGATAAAAATGTTTGTACATTTTAACTTAAAAACAATTGATGTTTTCTCTCTGCCTGACTTAGTCCATTTTTATGACTATTACTGGATCATTTGGGAAAAGGATTCGTTCATTCTCTAATTTGAGAGTATAGCATCTGACATATAGCAATTAGATCCGTTTCATTACTGGTTTAGGTCTTGTTTTTTTACATTGTATGTGTGCACATGTGCTTGATCTAACATGAACTGAGTTTCCTATTGTCGGTGAATTTCTGCATATTTCTTCTTGCATTTCCTGTGGGTTTTACTCCATCAGTGTTGGTGCTGTGCTGTACGGCGCAAATTCATAACAATTATATCACTATTGGGGATTGCAAACTCCAGCATTTTAAAGTGTGTGTCTTTGTGAATTCTATGATCCTACCACTTAAAGCACATGTGTTTGAGGGCATATTTTTATAGCACAGCTGTTCTGAAAACACAAACCAACCAAGGCCAAGGAAAGACAAGAGCCTGATTCTTTTAAATTTATGATGATAACACTAAAATTCCTTCTACAAAGCGAGCTTCCCGGCCTCAGAAAATGGCTTCAGTTCAAGTAGTAGGATCTTTCACAAAAAAATTCTCTGTCTACACATATTTGAACCTTTCTGACCAACAGCAACAACAAAAAACATAACACAACAATGTAAAGAGCACATTACTCATGACTAATCATCTAACCACAGAGGGAACTTCACTTCCTTCCTTCTTCACCACGTCCCCTTTTCCTCCCCAACCTCGCCCCCCTCTACCTTCTCTCTTGCTGTCTCCTGACGTGTATCCCTTGAATAAATGTGCTTTTTCCAAAGAAGATCGCTCCTGGCTCCTGCTCTCTCGCAGCTACTGACCAGTTGAACTCAGGGCGCTGGGTCCACTGGTGATTATGTGTGGGCTCCCACAGGTGACAAAAAGCCCATCTGGACTGCAGGGTCTTTAAACCCCAACGCTTCACACGTTCAACTTCTCACCCTTGAGAGTCTGTCACTTAGAGTTTTATTTTTCTACTCCCACTCTGTGCCACTCTATCCTGTAGACTCATTTTACAAAAGCAGCAAAATCTAAGTCTGACAGGTAATCCCATCTCTCCAGATTAGATGAGCTGGAAGCAACTTCTTGGCCCTGACATGTTGTGCAGAGGCACACAGCCAACCTTTGAAAGAACAAATGGGGGAAATTTGGAAATAGAGAAAGAGTGATGTCTCATGACTGTTACTATGATTTAGATTAACACATCTTTGGCCTGGGCCCCGGAAGTTGGATTTTCTTACAAGGTGGACATGTATCAACACAGAGCCTGCAGAACACGTAACTGTACAAGGCATACAGTGACCAGGAAGGGCAAAGACTCGCTAGTAGGCAACACTTTATCCTAGGGCACATAAGTATCAGAGAAAGAGGACAGAGCAGTCCTGGAGTCTTTCAAGTTGGGTCAGATCACCATAGATTTTGAACAAAATTAGTATCTTGGAGTTTATGATGACTGGGTTATGAATGCACCTATTAGGAAAATAGCCTATAATTTTTAGAAACCAGAAGCAATTGACGATTATGGATGTTTTAGTATTTTATTATGAGATATTACCTATTGGAATTTTTTGTTTGGGGAATTTTAGCAAGATATTAAATCAAGAATAGATAAACATCCAGATTATTGGAAAACCTTGGTGATGTAATTTCAGGGTCACTTTGCTACGTTAACTCATGGAGCATCATCACAGTACTACCAGAAGCAGGGAGCTGGGCAAGGTCCTGCTTGTTTACTTGCCTAAGCATAATGGCTGAATTTTGGAAATGATGAACAAGTAAGCTTGAAATCAATCCCCAGTGACCTTCGAAAACATATCACTAAATTAATATTCACCAGTAGATATCACGCATGAAAGAACAGACACATCATTTCTGTTTCTGATGGGGTTGCAATGACAAACTTATAGATGGGAACAAAGAGCTAGCCCTTCACCTCAGAATTGCTGCAAAAACATCAAAACATTCTCATTTGATAGCTGTCAAAGACCAAGCTAAATGAAGATATAGACAGGTGGTTTCAAAGTTTGTTAAATATCTTTGCTAAATAATATTAGCAATGGCCCTTGTCAACTGGAAGAGATGCCCTAACCCACCACCTAACTGCCTGCCAAAAATGGGGAACCAACAGTGTAAACAGATTAAAAGTGCAGGTTCTGGAATGTGATGACCTGGATTTTGAACCACATGCTTTCTGCTTTGGCCTTGAAATGTTATTTTACTCCTTCCTCCTGCAGTGCCCTCTGCTGACAGAGCTGAGCATTGTGTCAGGAGAATATCAACAGGGACCAGCTCCAGCATTGCAAGACAGGCAAAGAAGAGTGTGTTTGGAGCCAAAGTGACACCTGCCACAAGCTGGGCACTGCTGTCTATAGGACCTCATACTCCACTGTAAGGACTTTTACAAGAGCAAGAGGGCTTCGAGCAGAAGAATGACACAACCTTATTCATACTTTCAGCAGGATGATTCTGGTTCCCGAGCTGAGAATGGACCAGAGGAAGGCAAGGTGGAAGCTGGTGAGGAGGCTGTTGTGTTAATATTGCAATAAGAATTTAGCAGGCTGTTTAGCATTTATGTAATAAAGATATTCCTATGGGACTGTTACGATATCTTACCTAACCATCACTGCTAACTCTAAGTCTAAATAAGAAATAAGTATTTTTTAAAGAACATTAAAAAAATCAATCACCACAAAATACATGCCGACTTTCATAGTAGGTGATTATGATTATATTGCAATATAAACTCAAAGTAAACCAAATCAAACAGACATTTGGTGTTTTGATTTTTTTGGCAAAGTGATTTCTTAACATCTCTATTTTGAAAATTATTGAATCTTTTTGATTAGTAATACATTCACATCGTTTTCAAAATAAAACAAAGATATGCAAAAGTATTCAGTAAAAAGTCTTTCTTCTGCCTTTATCCACTATGTGTCCTGTTCCCATAAAACTTTTGTTTGCCAGTGGTTTGGATAAAGAAAATGTGGTACAGGCCGGGTGTGGTGGCTCATGCCTGTAATCCCAGCACTTTGGGAGGCTAAGGCAGGCAGATCACTTAAGGTCAGGAGTTTGAGACCAGCCTGGCCGACATGGTGAAACCCCAACTCTTCTGAAAACACAAAAATTAGCTGGACATGGTGGCAGATGCCTGTAATCCCAGCTACTAGGAAGGCTGAGGCACAAGAATCAATTGAACCTGGGATGCAGAGATTGCGGTGAGCCAAGATTGAGCCACTACACTCCAGTCTGGGCGATAGAGCAAGACTCAATCTCAAGAAAAAAAAAAAAGAAAGAAAATATGGTACATGCACACCATGGAATGCTATGCAGCCATAAAAAAGAATGAGATCATGTACTTTGCAGTATCATGGAAGCAGTGGAGGCCATATCCTAAGCAAATTAATGCAGAAACAGAAAACCAAATATAGCATATCCTCACTTATATGTGGGAGCTAAACGTGGGGTTAATAAATACTGGCAATTCCAAAAGAGGGGATGAAAGGAGGGGAAGGGTTGGAAAACTACCTATTGAGTACTATGTTCACTACTTGGGTGACTGAATCATGAGTCCAAATCTCAGAATCAAACAATATGCCCTTGTAACAAACCTGCACATGTACCCCCTGAATCTAAATTTAAAAATAAAAACTTTTAATTTTTTTTGTATCTCTTTCCAGAGTTTTTAAGCATAAGTGTTAGCAAACACAAATATATATTATTATCTCCCCTTTCGGTTTTACGCAAAAGGAACATACTATGCACATACTTTTCTTCACCTTGCTTCTTCACAAAATTTTGTATCTGGATATATTTCCATATCATAGGTATAGAGAGCCTCTTCATTAAAAAAAACTGTATGTACCATACTGTATTTAAATAAACCTTGCTAATGGAAATTTTAGAGGTTTCCAATCTTTTATTACTACCAACAATGCTGCCATGAGTTACCTTGTAGATATATGTCAGTTTTTTGCACATGTGCAAGTATATCTGTAGGATAGTTACAGAAGTGAATTACTGGGTCAAAGGGCAATATGCATTTGTAATTTTGTTTTATTTTTATTTTGAGACGGAGTCCTGCTCTGTCACTCAGACTGCAGTGCTGTGGCGTGATCTGGGCTCGCTGCAAGCTCCGCCTCCTGGGTTCACGCCATTGTCCTGCCTCAGCCTCCCAAGTAGCTGGGACTACAGGTGCCCGCCACCACACCCAGCTAATTTTTTGTGTATTTTTAGTAGAGACGGGGTTTCACCGTGTTAGCCAGGATGGTCTCAATCTCCTGACCTCGCGATCTGCCCACCTCACCTCCCAAAGTGCTGGGATTACAGGCGTGAGCCACTGTGCCCAGCCACATTTGTAATTTTGATAGCTGTTGCTAAATAGACCTTCACTGGGGCTGTAGCAATTTAGACTCTCCCCACAATGCATGAGAGTGGTTTCCCCACAGCTTCTACCACGAGAAAGATTAGCAACTTTTGGATTTTTGCCAGTTTGATTTATGAAAAATTACCTCGCAGTATAGTTTTACTTTGTATTTCTCTGATAATAAGTACAGTGAGCCTCTTTTCTTATGTTCAACAGACAAGTACTTTTCCTTTTTTTTTTTTGAATTGTCTATTCATATCCTGTGCATGTCTCTACTGGGTCATGGATCTTGACTCTGTGTTTTTAACACAATTGAGAAAAGTTAAGCACTATATATTATTTTGGGTCTAAAAAATTCCATTGCATTTTTAATGTTGTAAAACTTATACTAAGTCTGCCGTTTTAATACTAGTAAATATGTCTTACTATACTACAAAATACTCTTTGTTCAGAGGCTGAAATTAGCAATTTCAAACATGGCTCATATGTATGCGTGTGTGCATATAATGATGTCCTTCTTATAAAGTCACATGAGGCCATAAAACTTTACTCCAAAAAGGGAAACTGAACTCAAATGAGGTCTCTGGAATATAGCTATTCTGAGGCTTAAAAATAAGGTCCCAGATTAGCCTAAGCATCGCTCACTTGAAGGGGATAGCCTTTTTAATTATTTTAAGCCCATTTGTTGAACAGTTTCCAGTCTAAATCATTAATATCAAACCAGATTCCTGCGTTGGCTATTTGATTAGTGTACAGTGCATTATATGTGTATTAAACTCCACTTTATTAATGATTTTTAAAAGCACACTAGACATGATGAAATAGAATGTCAGAGCTGGAAAGACCTCTGTCATCTTGTCTAAACCCCTTGCTTTACATAAGCTATTAATATGGGTTTTTGGTTTTTACTCCTCTCTCCTTATTTTTCTTCAACTTTTAAAATGTTTTTAATACTTGTCATCCTAACATCTGGTTATAAGTACCCTTAACTTCCATGTTGTATAGATAAAGTCTTTCTTGCCTAATTCTTGGCTACTCTAAATTTTAGTGGTCACTAGAAAAAGTTCTCTATGGCAGAGGTCTATTTTTTTAAGTGGATAAGCTTCAGTTTCCCCATGGGTCAATTAAGAAATTTTTATTAGAAGTCCTCTAAAGTTGCTTCAGCTCCAACCATCTATAGGCCTATGAGAGAATAGGATGGATTCTTCCACTTTCCCTAAGGAAAGGGCTGCCCTGCTTTGGGGCAAAGTTAATATTTCTGTGTAGCTTTGTTACATTCTATTTCCTGAGGTCATAACAGTCTGGGTTCCAATTACATTCCTAGAATAATGAGCCTGTTACAGTAAATGAACATTTTCAAGTGCAACTGAATAACCACCTATTGAGTGTGCTGGCACCTAATAATTTTCCCCTTGGCAGAGGAAAGAAGTGGGCATTTGGGTAATGGGAGGTAGTTTGTGAAACGTGATAGAGAAAAGGATGATGAGAATCTGAAGCAGCTCTCCACACCTTGCAGGGCCTCTGCTTAATCAAGGCAGCTGGGAGATGAAGGCGATGGACCCTTTCTGCAAAGGTGGAGGCCCCTGACTCTGCACCACCTCAGGGTTGGCACTAACCTGACCCCAGAAGTCATCTAATCCAAGTTTGTCTCCTTTCTCCTTTTTAAAGTTCTGATTGATATCAAATGACAAACCAGTATCCCGACTGTGTTAGATGAGAGCTATCTCAAAGAAAGGGGCTGGGTCAAGAAGCCTGTGTTGGGAGAGTAAGCCTTAGCAAGAGATATTTTTTAAAGTGTTAAAACCATGATTTTCAACAAAACGTGCTCTATGTAACAATATTTATTGCCCTTTGGCTTTGTGGTATTTTCATATGGTTTTTATCAAGGGAACTTTGTGACTGGACATACACAAGGCAAGCATTCTGTTCAAACAGCAAAAAGAACATTGGTCCGTGACCATTAGCGTAGCAGGTCCTGATGAAGGAATTCCCCTCAATGAGAAATGAGGCAGGCCCCCAACCAAGGACAGAAAGGAGGAACAGTGTCAGGGCATTGTCATCCACAAATAGCTATGTATATTTTTTTCTTACCAAACAATTCCTAATCTTTCAGACTTCCACATCATATTGGAAAGAACAGTATGTCTTTTCTGGCTCCACAGTTTTCTCTGTGAATTTGCACAAGCTCCCTCTCTGTTCTGTATCAAGGTGGACTACCCGAGCTCAGTCAAGTAGTAGCTCCATTTGCAAAAAGTGTGCTCAAAACCAGATGCAGGACTGTTGCTAGGGCAGATTCATGAATCCTCAGGTACATGGTATCCATTTGGTGGATGTATTTTGTATTCCTATCAGAAAAAAAATGGATCAGGCACCATTTGTATTCACATGAAAAAGACAACAATATGCATTCATATTTTTGCCCCAGAACCATGTTAGCTTTCCTGCTCTCTGTATTAGTCCAAGGAAATATGGACCATTGGACATCCTACAAAACATTATGTTGATTTTTTTAACTTGATGACATCACACTGATTGGCCAGGACAAGCAAGAGATGGCTAGTATATTGGTAAGATACGTATGTTTCAAAGGGTAGAGGATCAGCCACATAAAAATTCAGGGGCCTGCCATTTGAGGAAAGTTTTTCAGTGGTCAGGAGGGTTGCCCAGATATCCCCTCCAAAGTAACAGATACACTGCTACATCCTGCATCCCTACGGCAAAGGAAGTACATTGCCAGTTTAACCTCTTGGAGTTCTTCAGGCAACACTGCACACCAAGGATAGGCTCTGGCCCTATACCAGATGGCATGGAAGGCTTCCAGCTTTAAAAATGGGGCCTGAAGCAAATCCAGACCTGCCATGGGGGCCGTATGAGCTGGCACAGATCCTATGGTATCAGAGGTATCAGTGGAACCAGATGCTGTGTGAATTTGTGCTGAACCCCAGCAGATCAATCAGCACCTGCCTCTGGGGTGCTGGAGCAGGGCCATGCAATTGCATCCGCAGTAGGGCACTGCACACCTCGTGAGAGACAGCTCTTGGCATGTTACCAGGCTCTGGGGGAGATGGAACGCACTTGACCATAAGGCAGCTGCCCACTACAGGCTCATTCATCAGACCGATTAAGTCATAATGTTGGCCCAGCAGCCATCTATCATTGGATGGAGATGGTACATCTGGATCAAGTCTGAGCAGGACCAGGGGAACAGCAAGCTGCATGAGCAGGTAGAACAGACCCGCATGTCACCAACCGTAGCTCATCCCTGTGGCCAGTGGGATCCTCTATGACCAGCTGTAGGAGAAATTTAGTTAGAGACCGTTAAACTTGGAAAGCAGGTGCACACCAGAAATAGACAGTGGCTGCGTTGCAGTCACATTCAGGAGTGGCCCTGGAAACAGTGGGCAGAATTGTGTGGTACACCTGGTCATCCACTTTATGTGGAAGGAGAAGTGGCCTGAAGTGGAATATATAGTTTTCTGGGTTGTAAGAAATGGTTTCACCAGCTGGTCAAGGGCATGGGAGGAGAAGGAAGACAAGATCAAAGACAAGGAGGTCAAAGACAAGGGCATCTGAAGTCAAGGTGTGCAGCTGGGGAGGGGACATGAGGAATTCAGCTTTTGTATTGCTTGTTGGTGTCCACCATAAACCATACACTGCATAAGGAAGAAAACAAACGGCTCAACCAGTTCAGGCTGACGAAGCTTTGTCCCTGAAGCTAGTACAATGAGCATGCAACTAGAGCAGCCATGGTGGGTGCAAATGCTTGAATTTTTACTTACCAGGCTAGTCTAGCTACTGCTGCCCCTGGCTGGCCAACGTGCGAGCAGTAGAAAGTTATGCTGAGCCCCTAACATGATACTATGTTTCAAGGAAACCAATCGGCCTCTTGTTGCACGATTTCCATCCTGGAAGAGCCAGCAAGTTTTCTTAACAGAAGTAGATGCCTCTTCAGATAGGGTTTGCCTTTCCTGTCTCTAGGGCCTCAGCCAGCACCACTATCCAGGGGCTCACAGAATGCCTGATGCACAGGTGTGGAACCCCACACAGTGCAGCATTCAACCAGGGGGCCCACCTCAGAGCAAAGGAGCTGCAGATGGGATCCCCTGGTTTTATCACTTCTATGTGCTCCAGAAACCGCTGGCCTCGGAAAGTATAGAATAGCCTTCTAAAGGCAAAACTGAAGCGTCAGCTCACTGAGGGGATAGGGTACCATCCTTCGGGACACAGCATAGGGATTAAACCAGCAACCCTTGTATCGCGCATGCTGTTTCCCCAGCAGGGGAGGAAGGGCTGCTGCTACACAGCGGAGGCAGCAGGAATATGTGCAGCGCTCAGGCCATCCACCCAGGGACCCAGTTGTAACCAGGAATGGCAACGTGCAGCAACTCTAACCTGAAAAGGACACGATAACCAATGGCTCAGATCCCTTAGAAACAAAGGTTTGAGTCACACCACCGGGCCACCAAGACCACCATGGTAGCCATAAATGAAGGGAATTTAGAATGGATAGAGGAGAAGGGCTGATGAGTATCAACGGTGGCAAGCAGCAACCCCCTGCAGTGGTAGGGGTGTGGTTCACCCATGTATTAGTTGGGCTCCTCTGGAGAAACAGAACCAATAGGAGAGAGAGAGAGAGAGAAACAGAGAGAGAGATTTATTACAAGGAATTGACTCACGGGATTATGGAGGCTGAGAAGTCCCATGATGTGCTGCCTATAAACTGGAGACTCAGGAAAGCTGATGGCATAGTTCAGAAGAGATGTCCCTGCTTAAGCAGTGAGACAGGAGCAAAAGGAGTGAATTCCTCCTTTCTCTGCTTTTTGCTGTATTCAGGGCCTCAAAGGATTGGAGAATGCCCACCCACACTGGGGAGGGCCATCTACTGAGTCCACTGATTCAAATGCTAATCTAATTTGCTAATCTCACAGACACAACCAGAGGCAGTGTTTAATATGGGCACCCCGTGACCCAGTCGAGTTGACCCGTAAAATTAACCATCACACCCCAATAACCTCCCTCTTCTAAGTCTTGTCTCAGGAATAGCCCCCTGGATCATGGAGTAGCCACTCCCCAGACATGCATGGACATGTGGATTCACATCCCTCACAGTGACATATCTCTTAGAGGTCTCCTTCAAGAAAACCTGCTGCAGAAAGCACAGTTGACTAACAGCCTCAAGCCACAGTCCCTTTGGATCCACCATGGTGGTCATATTGAGCCTGTGTTTCCCCCAAGCTACATCCAGCCATTGACTGAACATGGCAGAACAACTAAATCTGGCTCATTCCTGCCAGAAATGGGACCCTAACCATGGACAACCTTTACTCAAAGACTCCTCATCAGCTTTCCCAAGACTTTCTCTGATTTTCAGAGGACCTGAGCTGGTGCAGGTTATAGGTATCTGCAAAGACAGGAAAGTAAGTTAAAGATGAAGTCTGTGTTCAGCTTTGAAAGAAAGGGGTGTTATGCTATCTTATATTTTACATGTGTAGTCACCAATTTACTGAGGTTTTTAGTTTGTGGAGATACAGTCATGCATTGTGGTTAAGAGCATGGCTTCTGGAGTTGCACCAACCCTAGCTTAGTCACTCATGAGCTCTTTGGCTTTGGACGATTTGTTTAATTCCTCTGTGCTTGGTTTCTTTATATGAAAACTGGGTGTATCAGCCAAGGCTCAGTTGGGGGATAGAAATTACACAAGGTATTGATTTGCATTTCCTTGATGATTCGTGATGTTGAGCGTGTTATACTTCAACATAAATTCCCACTGGTTCACAATGTAGAGCACAATATACTTGGCCATTTGTATGTCTTCTTTGGAAAAATGTCTATTCAGGTCCTTTGCCCATTTTTAAATTGGGTTATTTGTGTTTGCATTTTTACTATTGAGTCATATGTGTTCCTTATACATTTTAAATGTAACTCCCCATTGGATTAATGGTTTGCAATATTTTCTCTTACTCTGTAGTTTGCCTATTCATTTTGTTGATTGTTTCCTTTGCCATACAGAAGCTTTCTAGTTTGAGGTAGTTCCACTTGTTTATTCTTGCTTTTCCTGCCTGTGCTTTTGGTGTCATATTCAAGAAATCATTGCCAAGAGCAATGCTAAGGAGATTTTCCCCTATACTTTCCTCTAGGAATTTTATGATCTCAGGTCTTACATTTAAGTCTTTAATTCACTTTAAGTTTATTTTTGTGTATGGTTTAAGATAAGGTCCAATTTTATTCCTTTGCATGTGATTAACCAGTTTTTCAGCACCATTTATTGAGAAGATTCTCCTTTCCACATTGGTACCTTTGTTGAAGATTAGCTATACATGTAGGGGTTTATTTCAGGTTCTCTATTCAGTTCCATTGGTTTATGTGTCTGTTTTTATGCAACAGTAGCAAACTGTTTTGATTACTATAGCTTTGTAATGTAATTTGAAATCAGGAAGTGAGATGCCTCCAGCTTGGTTCTTCTTGCTCAAGATTGCTTTAGCTATTTGGGGTCCTTTGTGGTTCTATATGCATTTTAGAATTTTTTTTTCTATTTCTTTGAGAAATGTCATTGAGATTTTGATAGAGCTTGCACTGAATCTGCAGATCACATTGGGTAGTACAGGTATTTTAACAGTATTAATTCTTCTAATTCATGAATGTGTAATATCTCTCCATTTATTTGTGTCTTCTTTAATCAAAACCACAGTGAGGTATTACCTCACACCTGTTGGAAAGGCCGTTATCAAAAAGTCAAAAGATACAGGTGTGATGGCTCACACCTGTAATCCTAGTATTTTGGGAGGCTAAGGTGGGTGGATCACTTGAGCTCTGCAGTTCAAGACCAGCCTGGGCAACATGGCGAAACCCCATCTCTTAAAAAAAAAAGCACAAAAAGTGAGGTGGGAGGATCACCTGAGCCTGGGGAGGTCAGGTCTGCAGTAAGCCATGATCGTGCCACCCAATGTACTACCCAATGTGATCTACAGATTCAGTGCAAGCTCTATCAAAATCTCAATGACATTTCTCAAAGAAATAGAAAAAATAATTCCAAAATGCATATAGAACCACAGAGGACTCCAAATAGCTAAAGCAATCTTAAGCAAGAAGAACAAAGCTGGAGGCATCACACTTCCTGATTTCAAATTACATTACAAAGCATTCCAGCTTGGGCAACAGAGTGGGACCCTGTCTCAAAAAACCAAAAAATTAAAAATAGAGCTATTATATACACAATGGAATATTATCTAGTCTTAAGAAAGAAGGAAATCTTGACATTTGCAACAACATGGATGAACCTGGAAGACATTGTGCTTAGCAAAATGAGCCAGGCACAGAACATTAAGTGCTGCGTTGTCTTACTTATATGTAGAATCTAAAAAAGTTGAACTCATGGAAACAAAGAGTAGAATGGTGGTTCCAGGGACTGATGGCTGGGGCAAATTGGAGAGGTTGCTCAAAGCGTATAAACTTTCCATTGTAAGATAATAAGTGTTGGAGACCTAATGTACAGCATGATGACTATAGTTAACAATGATATATTTTATATTTGAAATTTGCTAAGAGAGTAGATCTTCAGTATTCTCACTACACACACACACACACACACACACACACACACACGTAACCATGTGAAGTGGTGAATGTGTTAATTAGATTGATTGTGGCAGCCATTTCACAATGTATATGCATATCAAAACATTATGTTGTACACCTCAAATATATACACTTTTTATTTGACAATCATGCTTCAATAGATGAGAAAAAAGAGATAGTGTGCAGGGTACTTTCTGGCTTGAACAACACAGTCCTGGAGGTAAGAAGTCCAAGGTAAAGGTGCAGGCAGGGTTGGTTCCTTCTGAGGCTTGTGAGGGACAATTTCTTCCATGTTCTCTCCTAACTCCTGGTGGTTTACTGGTAATCTTTGATGTTCCTTGGCTGCTCTCTCCTTCAGCCTCACAGGGCAGCTCCTCCTGTGTGCACATCTCTGTGCTCAAATCTCTTCTCTTTACAAAGACATCAGTCATATTGGATTAGGGTCCACCCTGATGACCTCATCTTAGCTTCCTAATTACATCTTCTATGACCCTATTTTCAAATTACATCACATTCAGAGGCACTATGATGTTAGATTTCAACATACGAGTGTGGCATGGGACCGAATTCCACCTCTAAGAGGTCAAATAGAGTCAAAACAGACCTCTAAGTAGGATGTGGAACTTGGCTGTTGCTAATACCTCTGAGATCACAGGAGGGGTCCCTTTGGCCTGCAACCCAGACCCCTGGGGAGGGGACACATGTGCTGTTGCTGATGACTCAGAGGGGATGCAATGACACTGATTCTGCAAATACTGAAAAAACTTCAAATGTGATTCAGCTGTTGCTACAAGAAGAAACTGCAGCTTCCAGATTGAAGAAGTCTTGTTGGGATAAAACTCACAATTGCAGGCAAACAGGAAGCCAACAGGAAGGAGCAAATCCCTTCTTCTTCCTCCTCTTCCGGTCTCTCCCCAGTCATACAGTGTGCAAAGCCTAACAGGGAGTGAGCTGGAGTGCAGACGGTGGTTTGCAGAGCCCTTGCTGCCGCATGACAGAGAGGCTAGAAGGAGGAGGTTGGGGAAGGGGCCAGGATTGCAGTCTACCCCTCTGTCCACTCACCTTCCAGACACACCCTCTTCTATTTGGAATTTCATACTATGACAAAACCAACTCTGTGTTTTCACCTGATGAGAGGCAACTATCCTTGGAACAAGCAAAGATGTTTCTACCCTCTCCACAAAATGAGGAAAAGCAGCACTCATGTCCAGCTCTGGGAGCAGGCTGGGAAAGGCACACCCTCTGTCTCTGTCTACGCTAATCAGTTCTCAGATTCAGCAACAATCCCACCTGCATATATTGTTACCTAAAACTAGACTGTAAAGTTACCTTACATCAAAACTTATATACATTAATAATATTTCTATAAATACATAAAAGGTAAATACAGCTGCTACCATTCCTGTATCTGTAACTGGTCATGGGATGATAGTTGGTATGATTTTAAACATCTTTATTGATGTATAATTCACGTCATAAAACTTGACTGTTTAAATGTACAATTCAGTGGTTTTTCATATAATCACCCAGTCATGCAACCACCACCATGAACACTCTAATCATCCCAAAAAGAAACCCCGTACCCACTAGCGTCGCTTCCCAGCCTACCCTCCCCCGAGTCCCTGGCAACCGCTTATCTATTTTCTGTCTCTGGAAAGACATGTGCCTACTCTGGACACTTCATAGTTCATATAAATGAAATCATATGATGTGTGACTAACTTCTTTCACTTAGTGCAGTATTTCCAAAGTTCTTGAGCTTTCTTCATAGCTGGCGTTATAATAACTTCATAAATGGCACAGCGGGTAATAATAATACTCATTCCATAGGGTTGTTATGCACATTAAACAAGTTATTACATGTAAATCTCTTAGAACAATGCCTGACGCAGTTAGTGCTTAATAAATTAGCCTATTATTGGTTGTTTCACGTGGTATAGAAATATTTATGGAGATAACAATAAAGGTGTTATGTTCTGGCTTTACTGACAAATCAGCAGATGCTTTTTAAAAAACAGGTACGTGTTTAAAAGACGAAGTGGTGAGCACCAAGATGCTTGATGCGAGTTGAGATTTGTCAAGTTACCGAGTTTCATGATGTATTGTCTTGTACGGGGTAAGGTCAACATACCCCTACTCTACTCACTCTATAGGAAGAAACGTAGGGTAACACTTCAAGATATTGTATTCTAATATTCCACTCCAAAGCACGGGTCCCCCAGATGTGTTCCTTGTATTGAAACTAAAATGTGTATTATATCTGTGTTTTTCTCATCTTGTTTTTTTTTTCTCCCCCAAATTAGGTTGCTGCAGTCTGAGGCTTTGTAATTACTAATATCAGAGGGATGAGGAGGGTGCTCGGGTACTCTCTTTGGAAAGGGAATCAGGCTAGAAATCACCTAAGTCTCACTGCTACTCTATCTGTAACTCAGAGTCATTTGGGAGGATTCCTTGTTTCCTATGCAAGAGTTGCCGGCACCTGCAGGAGCACCTAGTGGACTCATGTGAGTGGCCTGCTGGCCTCTGAGGAGGAGACAAGCTGTGGTCTCGAGGGAACGAGCTGTGGTCTTGAAGGTCGAGAGGGACTTGACCTGCTCAGGTAAGAGTGAGGTAAGCTCAGGACTGAAGCAAAGCTGAGACCCTCTGGAGCTGGCGGTCCCCATGCTCTTGGAGAGTGAGTGAGCTTTGGCCGGGCAGGTGTGCAGACTGCCCAGGCCCCCACTGTGATGATGGCTCTGTGAGGAGCAGAAAGAGCTCCTCTCTCACCTGCCCTCTGAGCACCTGTCTGCTGAGTCCAGACTCTGTGGGGCACCCAGAAAGAGCCTGGGAGGGGACGTCACCAGTTTCCCTTAGCTTCCCTTATCTCAGCACTTAAGACTTAAGGGCAGTTCTCCTGGCCTATAGTTTACAAGATTTCTTTAATGAGTATTTTTTATATTAACAGCATTGCCAAAAATGCCTCAACCTCTTCTCTTTAATGTAATATTTATATTTAGTAAAGGCAGTCTAGTTTGTTTTTATAATACATTTGTGTATTTAAAATAATTAAATTGGGGAGTTTTAATTCAACGAGTACAGAATTTCATTGTGGGAAGGTGTAAGAGGCTTGGAGATGGACGGCAGTGATGGTTGTACAATGTGAAGGTACTTAATGCCACTGAACTGCTCACTTAAAAATGACTAAGTTGCTAAATTTCATGTTATGGATATTTTATCATAATGGTTAAAAGAAAAGATTTAAATAAGGGCATTGAGTCAGACCTAGACATAAATGTTTGCTCCATTAATTAAATTGCTTATACTTTCTTTTTTTTTTTGAGATGGAGTCTAGCTCTGTTGCCCAGGTTGGAGTGCAGTGGCGCGATCTCGGCTCGCTGCCACCTCAGCCTTCCAGGTTCAAGTGATTCTCCCGCCTCAGCCTCCTGAGTAACTGGAATTACAGGCGCCTGCCACCATGCCCAGCTAATTTTGTATTTTTAGTAGAGATGGGGCTTCACCATGTGGGTCAGGCTGGTCTCGAACTCCGGATCTAATGGTAACAACTAGGGGGAACTTAAGGCTAGTTTGTTCAGAGTCTTCTTGGTGTTGGTGTCCCTCTGTGACATTCCTTCCTGTCTTCAGGAGACGAGCGAGGGAGAAGGAGAAGGTCAGAGTGACCTTCCTAGGTCTCATGACGTGCTTCACGAAGAAGGGAATGGGAAAGGGAGAGTGGCCTTTCTGCTTCTGTTTTCTCAAGCGCCGAGATGCCATATTTTGGTGTAGCATGTTCTGAACCCTGTCACTGTCTAAAGTCAGACTCTCCATCTGGGCCCTGGATCCCATCTCTTGCTTACTCAAGGACATCAGTCCAGCATCCAAGGAGCCTCTTTTCCTACATCATCAAATCTTCCTGCCTTACTGGATAATTCATATAAGCAAGCAGACGTGCTGTTATTTCTTCTGGCAAGAGAGAAAAAAAAACCTCTCTGGACTGCAATTTTCATTCTATCTATGGTTCTACTTTGCTGTCTTTTGCAAGAAAATCTCTCAGAAATGCTGTCCACATTTGCTCTTTCCAATTCTTGTCCTCTCATTCTCTCTTAAGTTCTTCCAACTGGGCTTCCGATGCCATCATTCTACTAAGCCTATTCCCTTCGAGGTTACTAATGATGTCCACATGGCTACATCCAATGGCAAATTCCTGGGCTTATCAACTGACTCCTCCTCTGACCCATTGGCAACTTCCTCCTCTTTGACACTCTTTCTACCCTTGACTTCCAGAACACTCCAGGCTTTCTGCCTACTTTAACTGGCTACTATTTCTCCGTCTCTTTTGCAGGTTTCTTCTCCCCTTTGGGACACAACAGTTCAGTGTTCTGAACTGGTTACATTCACCCCTGGATGATCCGATGACTTAGGTCTATATGCTGACAATTCCCAGATGTCTGTCTAGCCCAGATCGTCCCACAACTCTAGACTCCTATATCTAACACCTCCACCTGAATTTCCAACAGACAGGTCCAATTTAGTACAACAAAAGCTGACCCCACAGAGAGTCATCCCCATCTAGTTAATTGGTGACTCCACCCTGCCAGTTGCTTGGTCCAAAAATGTTGATGTTATTCTTGACTCTCCCACCACATAATCCAGGAAGAAATCATTTTGACTCTGCCTTATCTTCAAAAATATGTCAGAATCTGATCACCTCTAACTATTTGCGCCACCAATATGGCTTTCTTTTCTGGACTACTACAGTCAGTTTTCCAGCTGGGGTCCCAGATGCCACCCCAGCCCCTAAAGTCCATTATGAACACAGCAGCCATAGCAACTCCTTGAAGATGGGGCTCACACTATGTCACTCCTGTCCTCTGTTCAAACACTGTTCTCAGTCCTTCAAAAGGTCTTCAAAGCCCTGACCCCACCCCACCACCTCTCTAACTCATGGAGGTCCAGTGGATGGCTCTCCTGCTATTCCTCATCATTCCCGGTACTCTCTAGCCTCAGGGCCTCTGCCTGGAATGTGCTTCTGCCCACAACCCATATTGATAACGCCTTTACCTCCTTCCAGGTTTTGATCATCCCTCACCTTCTCAATGAGACATGCATGGCCTACTCTATTTACAATCCTGCGACAACACACCTTTTCCACAGCACTGACTTTGGAGCATACTAAATACTTATTGTTAACCATCTGCCTCCCTCCTGCTAGAATGTAAGCTCCACAGGGCATTGGCTTCTGTCTGTTTTCATCATTGATGTTTCTTCTGCACAGAAACAAGGTCTGACACATAGTTAATTGTCTCAAGAATATTGGATAATGAATGAATGCGTAAAAACAGCTATCAATTTTTGGTCTCTTCTCATCTTTATGCATTCTCTCATTTTGCGATATTTCATATAATGTGATTTTACATATATGTTTTGATATTGTAATAACAGAACTTTTATTCTTATTAATTTAATGTGAAGATTATATACATATTATATTGATCAACTTTTTCTGAAAAGGGCCAGATAGCAAATATTTTAGGCTCTGAAGGTCATGTACTATTTATCATGTATGTGTGTGTGTGTGTGTGTGTGTGTGTGTGTGTGTGTATGATGTACTAAATTGGACCTGTCTGTTGGAAATTCATGTGGAGGTGATAGAGATAGGAGTCCAGAGTTATGGGAGGATCTGGGCTAGACAGAGACATTTAAGAATTGTCAGCCTATAGACCTACATCATCAGATCACCCAGAGATGAATGTAAATAGAAAGGAGGTAAGGACTGAGGACCAAGACTCAGAACACTGAACTGTTGTTTCCCAAAGGGGAGACAGAACCCTCAAAAAAAGACGGAGAAATAGTAGCCAGTTAAAGCAGGAAGAAAGCCTGGAGTGTTCTGGAAGTCAAGGGCAGAAAGAATGTCAAAGAGGAGGAAGTTGCCAATGGGTCAAAGGAGGAGTCAATTGACAGGACTGGGAATTTGCCATTGGATTTAACTGTGTGGATGTCATTGGTGACCTCAAAGAGTGATGGTGTCAGAAGAGAGATATATACATCTCCCAAGTCTTTACGTTCTTAGCTTGTAGCTGTTTACAAATACCTGCAGACTTATATATTATGATTAACATAATTAACCTCATCATTGCACGTATTATTTCCAGTATGTTACTATTACAAATTCTATTCAATTAATAAACTTTTGTCACTTGCCTTTACTTCCAGTTTTTCCTATTTCATTGTTTTCCTTATTATTTTCCCATTTTCTTTATTATTTCTTTTATTATTTAAGAAGTCAAAGAACTATTCCCATAACATGGCATAAATTTATTATTTGACCTTTTAAAATTGTTCTACTATTAATATTTTAATTCTAAAACAATACATGCTCATTATAGAGAATTTGGAAAACAAAAATTTAAAGAAGAAAATATAAATCACTAGTAGATACAATACTCAGGAGTAGCCATTATTTTGTGGGCTTTTTCCAGTGATTTTTTTTTCTAAGCACATGTATATGTTCTTTAAAAATAACAAAATTAGGATAATACTATATGTATATACAAGTATTCTTCTTGAAATTCTTTTCTTAGTCATGAAAGCATTTTCTAATATCATTAGAAAACATGTTTTTTTCAATAGTACCATTTAGATGGCTACATAATGTAACATTAACATTATATAACAATTTATTGCAATGCTTTTCTGGAGTTTCTGACTATTTTTAGGTTGGATTCCTGAAGAAGAATTGTGCTTGTTTAAGTCTCTTTTTTACAAATGCTCTTCTAGAGAGGATGGACCAATACTCGGTCGTTTGAGCAATATGAGGTGGGGCTGTTTCTCTGTGCATCCCTCACCGTCAAACTAGGGACAGTGACAATTCAATCACTCAGTCACTTCTCAACATCCTGACCTTGCTGGATACCTGCTATGTCTTCTCTGATCTTTTACCTGTAGCGCAGCTTTTAAGAGCCCATGTTGTAGAATTACACAAACATAGGTTTAAATCTTGATTCGGCTGCTTAGTAGTTAGTCTGACCTCGGCCAAGTATTTACAGTACTCCATTTCCTCACTTCTTAAATGTGGATGTGATATCTACTTCATGAGCTGCTGTGAGGATTAAATGACACAATACAAGTAAAGTGCTCAAAACAGTAGTTCCCCTAGAAAGTTAGCTTGCCTTAGATCTAACTCCTTCTATGAATTGTCTCTCTCTCCCTCTCTTTCTCTCTCTCTCTCTCTCACACACACACACACACACACACAGACTCACACACTTGTTTTCTTTTTTTGAGACAGGATCTCACTTTGTCACCCAGGCCGGAGTGCAGTGATGCAGTCATGGCTCACTGTGGCCTTAACCTCCCAGGCTCAAGCGATCCTCTCACCTCAGCCTCCTGAGTGGCTGAGACCATGGGTCCGCGCCACCATGCCTGGCTATTTTTTGTAGAGACAGGGTCTTGGCATGTTGCCCAGGCTGGTCTCAAATTCCTGGGCTCAAGAGATTTGCTTGTCTCAGCCTCCCAATGTGCTGTGATTACAGGCATGAACCACCACACCCGGCCCACTTTTTAAAAAAATGTCAGACTTCTTTTATGACTTTTCTGGGCTCTTGAAATTTTCAGTTAAAAATTGTTTTGTTACTTCCAGAGAAAAACGTTTCCTTTTGCCATTAGTCTTCGGGTTTACCTGGTTGACCCTTGATGACAATCAGAAATTTATTTAAGATAATTTTATTGGTAGTTTTGATTTGTAAAGGAGAACTTCAGAGTTGCTGCTCACATGGGCCCTGCCCAGTGGTCTGCTACTTGGCAGGGCAGCCAAAGCATTTACACCTCCTGCAAAGCTTCAACCCCTTCCAGAGGAGCCGATGTCTAAGCTGAGAGGCAACTAGCGAGGTAGACAGGACTGAGAAGGCCATTCCCAAAGAGAGAGGAGGCAAACCAGAGGGAGATGGGGGAAGGTTGCAGCCAAGCTGCTGGGAGCTACAGCCCTGCCAATCTGCTAACCCGAAACTCCCAAGCGGGAGTCATGAGGACTATAGTGGGCAATTAGAACTCACATCATCACATAGCTCTGGTAGAGCACTAACTTCTGCCCATCTCCCTTTCTTTTTATTGAACTCCTTCAAATATGTTGTGACTAGAGCTTCTAAAGTGGAGACCGTTTTTCTGTCCTGTGTGTTTCTCGAGTTGAATGTGTCTCTCGGCTATCCGGGTGGGTAGGGGCATAAGCCAGTGACATACGATGAACCTACTTGACCTTCATGCTAAGATCCCTCTGACACTAGTTGAACAGTTAAACTTGCTGAACTGGTTCTCCCCAAATTCCTATGTTAAAGTCCTAAACCCCAGTACTTAAGAACGTGGCTGTATTTGGAAATGGGTTTTTTAAGAGGTAATTAAATTAAAACAAGGTCATTAGGGTGGGTCCTAACCCAATCTGACTGGTGCCCTTATCAGAAGAGGACATGAGGACGCAGACATGCAGAGAGGGAAGACCATGTGGGGACACAGGGAGAAGCCAACCCTCCACCAGCCCAGGAGAGAGGCCTCAGGGGAAACCAACCCTGACGACCCCTTGATCTCAGACTCACAGCCCCAAAGACTGTGAGGAGACCAGTCTCTGTTGTTCAAGTCTCTCAGTCTGTGGTGCTTGTTACACTTTCCCAGCTGCCATACTCTCTCCCACCTGGATCCCTGCAACAGCATACACCTGGTGTCTCAGTGCTCACTTTGCTGCTGAGAAATAAAGATAAAATCCTAAGCCCCTCAACCAACTGAGCAGACACTCTCTTGGCCAGGGGAACCCTAGAGAAACTGTAAAAACTGAGTTCATGGCCATGATGGATAGAAGGTCAGACACGCCTTGCTATACCCGCTCCCTTGCTAACCGCCACTAGGTTTTCTTCCTCAATGGTTAAACAGAAACCAGCTGTTTTGAAAGACTAGCTCCATTGCTGATTTTGAAGAATCTCCTGACTTCTGCCCCTCCCTTTTGTGGTTTCAACACAACTGCGTTCCTTCCTGATAAGAAACCACCAACCACAGAGTGGTTCTGCTGAGTCTATGGAGATTGCATACTAAGGGTTTTCCTGTCCTCCACTTCACCTTCTGATCTCAGAGGGCCAAACACTCCACTCTCAGGTTATGCTAGCACTGTCATTTTTTTGTACATGCCACCCATGAAGAGGCATGAAGCTCAATTGCACATGTGCACGTTTCTCCATTCGTGCCTCCTTCTGTAGCTTACTGAATATGTGCATTTGGTCACCTGGTTCAGCATAAATCCCTTTTACATTCTTCCCACCTTCTAAGTGTCTGTTTCTAGCTTCTGGCCAGAGGCTACGCTTCCCAACCTGTCAGAATGGCTACCCTGCAGGATGCAACCCTGTATGAGAAATCTCTCCTTTCCAAAAATATGAACCTCATTATTCAGTTAACACTGCCCAGCAGGCAGTGTGGATCTCAACACATCACTTCAACCCTTCTTTGGCTCTTCAGATAAACCCTCTGGTCTTCACCACAGCCCTCCAGGCTCCTGCTCCAAGTTCCTTTTGTGCCTTTTTTCTCTTTTTCCTTCATGCCTCTGTCTGTTCCTCTAATGCTTTTTTTTCCCTGCCCCTGAGGACCTTGGTTTGCACCAGCCCCTCTACCCAGACAGCTCTCTGTCCCGTAGCCACCTGTGCATTACTTTCCACTGCACATCAAACATCCCTTCCTCAGAGAGGCTTCTCTAGTTATGTGACCGTATAACTCCTTGGATGTCTATTTCATGGGAGGTAACATATTTGCAATTACTATAAGTAATAATTTGAGAAATTAATCATCCCACCTTTGCTTCCCTATAGCTCTGCACTGTCCTGTAGGACACCGGGCACTGCTGGAAGCATTCCATAGTCTGTGCTGTCTAACACAGTAACCATTAGCCCCATGTGGCTATTGAGTACTTGAAATGTGGCTAGCATGGTGTATTAGTCTGTTCTCACGCTGCTAATAAAGACATACGAGAGACTGGGTAATTTATAAAGGAAAGAATTTTAACTGACTCACAGTTCCACATGGCTGGGGAAGCCTCACAATCATGGCAGACAGCAAATGAAGAGCAAAGTTATGTCTTACATGGTAGCAGGCAAGAGAGTTTGTACAGGGGAACTCCCACTTATAAAACCATCAGATTTCTTGAGACTTATTTATTACCACAAGAATAGTATGGGGGAAACTGCCCCATGGTTCAATTATCTCTACCTGACCCTACCTTTGACACATGGGGATTATTACAATTCAAGGTGAGATCTGGGTGGGGACACAGCCAAACCATATCACACAGCATGTGATTTTTATTAATTTAAATTTAAATTCAAGTAGCTACATGTGGCTGGCAGCCACCTGGTTGGCCACACAGCTATGGGCTGCCCGCTCTGCACAAGCAGGTGCCAGTCTCTGTTGCTGCCCATGGTGGCTCCCACATGGGCATTTAAATATCTGTGAATAAATAAGTGAGTTTAACTAATTTAAATTTAACTAAAGAGGTTATGTATTTGAAACCAAATGTCCCATATAAAGAATATTGCTGGTATCACATTCTCAGCAGGACAAACTCTGCCATTATTCTCGTTGCTTTTTTCCCTTTACCAGCAAAATTTGGGTTGACGATGAGAACTTTTTTGGGAGGTACTATGTAATGCCTCACTTGATTAAAATGGACTGATTTTCCACATGACGACTAGATAGGATTGCATATGCCAATCGATTTTAGAAAATAAGATCAAGAATATAATATAGACCAGGACCAAATGAAAATTAAAAAGCAGCAAGTAAAAAGCTAATAAAATTCTTCAAAGAAGCAGGCAAATATTCTTAGCTTAAATCAAAGATGGATAAAACAAAAGTTTTGAGCTTTTAGACTAACTGAATCCCAGGATCTAGAGAGAACTTTAAGCATAGAGCTTGCTCAGGTGTAAGACTGAGTACCCCCCAGGAGAATGCAGTACATCTTCTCTATAAACACAGAGCTGGCCAGACGCATTGGCTCACACCTGTAATCCTAGCACTTTGGGAGGCCAAGAAGAGGAGATCACCTGAGGTCAGGAGTTCAAGACCAGCCTGGCCAACATTCTGAAACCCCGTCTCTACTAAAAATAAAAAAATTAGCCAGGTGTGGTGGCAAGTGCCTGTAGTCCCAGCTACTCGGGAGGCTGCAGCAGGAGAATTTCTTGAACCCGGGAGGCGGAGGTTGCAGTGAGCCGAGATGGCGCCACTGCACTCTAGCCTGGGCAATGGAGTGAGACTCTGTCTCAAAAAAAAAAAAAAAGCAAAAAATAAATAAATAAACCCACAGAGCTAACTCCTAATTAGCATTACCAGATAAAATTCATGACAGTTAAATTTGGATTTCAGATAAGAATGAATAACTTTTTATAGCTTATAATAAGCTATTCATTCTTTATCTGAAATCTACATTTAACTATATTTCCTGTTTTGAGATTTTTTTTTGCTAATTCTTGCAGGCATATTTAGAATACATGGGAATAAAACAGCCACAGAAGATGAAAGTGTGCCAAGTCAGAATATACATAACTTAAAATTTAATGCGAAGGAAGTGACTGAAACTTTTCCCTCATTCTTGTATCTCTCTCTCTCTCTTTTTTTTTTTCCTCTTGATCATGTTCCCAAAAAGCTAGACCAAGTTTTGGCATCTTTTAGGGTTTTATTCCTGTACTGCATGATGACTTTTTTGATGCTGAGAGTTTATGAGCTTTATCAAGCAGGAGAAAGAAGGCAATAGTCATTGTATATGAGCTCCTAGGAACGAGAACTTTGTCATAATAAATTCTATAGCCTCAGGGCCTAGCACAGTGCCTCGCCCAGAACTGGTAAGCAACTGAGGTTGGCCGTTCCTGTAGATACATCGCAATTCTGTTTGCAGTAGGGATAGAGAGGGATAGAATTGTCACCGATGTGCACACATGTGATTCCTCTTCTTATTCCCATTGTTTTTCACAGCACCTCAAATATAAGAGAATCTCAATATATGCTCATTGAACTGAACTCAGCTGATTTAAGACCATGAGATTCCTTCTTATTAGGGTAGATGTTTCTTGAGAAACATTTTTATTATTTAGCATGTTGTGGAAATTCAGATCTGCTAAACACCTCAAAACCATGATTATTATTTGATTACTTTTTATTCCTTTGGGCTTCTTGTTCATGGCACACAATGCTCTCTGGTGTGACAGATCTTGGCCTTAGTAATTCCAAACCTCAGCACTCTCTCATCTTCCTGCCCCAGTGCAATTACA
Source organism: Homo sapiens (assembly GCF_000001405.40). Lineage (NCBI taxonomy): Eukaryota > Metazoa > Chordata > Mammalia > Primates > Hominidae > Homo > Homo sapiens. Next base: position 2,546,307 of record NC_000006.12, read on the forward strand.
TGAGTGCTTGGGAGCTGGCTGAGTCAGGAAAGTGGATGTAAGTGAAGCAGACAACGTAGAAATGAACAAAGCGACATCTGGAGAGGACCACAGCCAGGACTCAAATCTAGCCTGTCTCCAGCTCACCTCCTCCCTCCTCGATCACCACCCCCTCCAAATCTGCACGTGATCGATCATAGAACTATTCACATGGGTCAGGTCGTGCTATCCCTGCTCAGCCTCAAGCCCCTCCAGGTAGGCAGCACCAAAGCATATTTATGGTCATTTTTCCAAGCACTGTGGCTATATTTGTGTCTGGCCTATATCCCTTGAAAATGATCCTATGCGTAAACTCTTAAATAATCTTTTAAAAATCTCTAACCTCTTTGAATTTTCTACACCAAGTTCACATAGGAATTCCAGCTTGGCCATGGCCACTTTAATTAAGTTAGATAGAAAGAAAATGAAAACACTAGTCGTCCAGGTGGTAGCATGTGTGGGTTTAAGGTATGCACACACTTTCCTGAATTTCTAAGATAGATTTGTGTGGTTTTAATCAAAAGTATAAGCTTCCAGGATAATGCTAAGAGATGGTCCATTGAACTGCATTCTTAAACTATGAAAGCCTTCCAATCATCCTACAATCCCTATATTGTAAAATTTTATGTCTCAACTATATTTAATTTTCCGTCACCCAAACTCTTGGCTGGACTTCCACATTTTCTCAATAATGACTTCTCTTTCTTGGCTAGTCATGTTACATTTAGCAAAAGCTGGGACGCTGATCACCTCTGCCCCCGTTCCCCTCTAATGGGTCATTTCTGATGCTGTCTTGGACTTCTTTCATCACATTGTAGGTCTCTGCATCACTCTGCTCCACGTTCGTGAGAAACTGCTTATTTGGAAATCCGTCCAAGCAGCCCCATCAGATCTTTTACATCAACTCGCCTAAATCTGCAATCCACACCATTGGGTGCAGGAAAGAGGCCTTCATGTTCTTGCCTGACCACGGGGGAGCAGAGTGTGGTATCTATTAAAACGTTTGTTCAGATGCCTCACAGTGCTGGAATATCTTACAAAGGGGTACAAACACTGCTTGTTCACAAAGAGTGTGTGGCTTCAGTGGAAAGAGAGGTCTAGCTCTCCTTCTGTCTCACACCAAACACACTACGGTCTTCTTGAGTCTTGTGCAATGATTACATGATTACACTGAGCAGGAAGAAGTGGGGGTGAAGACAGAGCAGGAGGATTTTCAGGCTCTCCCAGTGAACAAACCACAGAGCGCTATTCTAGGGACTGTTACTCTAGCAGAATGGAAATGTGCTATGGAGCTTCCGTCTCACACTTGGGGCTTGGAGGTGTGATCTGGTCTCTTAACTCCCCCACGTTGACTCTCACAGGTCCTCCTGAAACTGCCTTTGCAAAATTATGACAGTAGGAGAACTCTGACATAGCTAACTTCATTTGGCTTCTTAGCTCTAAGTTCTCCTTCTTCATTGCTGGGCATAGGCCAAGCTAACTTTGGGAGGAATTTAGTTTATAGTTTAACCTTAAAGCAAGGATGATAACAGCCTTTTGCAAAGCTATGCATTCCTTGTTTAGATACCAAATTGCCTTTGAAAAACTAATGAAAGGCTACAAGATTAGGGAGGGGTCCGAACTCTGCTAAGATGTAGGCGTAGTTGAAGGATAACCAGCCATTATTCCAGTGGTCATAAGATCTGAAACCTCCCCAACTGCTCCTATTGTAAAACCTAAGATTGGTGTTTGAGGCATTTTTCAAACTCTGCATTCTGATGGATCAGCTGGCACCCCCCAGACTGCTAGTTCATCTGGTCTTTTGGCCCCTACCCAGGAACTGGGTCAGCACAAGAAGACAGCTTCAACCCCCTGTGATTTAATTCCTGACCCAGCCAATCAGCATTCCTCATTCCCTAGCCCCTCACCCATCAAACTATCCTTAAAAAACCCTATCCTCCAAATGTTCGGAGAAGCTGGTTTGAGTAATAACAAACTGCTGTGCTTCCACATAGCTGGCTCTGCATGTATTAAACTCTTTCTCTATTGCAAAGACCTGCTGTTTTCAGTGCACCAGCTTTTGTGGGTGGTGGGCAAGATGAACCTGTCAGGTGATTACACTCCTGTGTCACACTCAAAGCCATATTCATGCTGAAACAGTCTCACTTTGGGCCTTGGATATGCCTTTTCCTCTAACTAAAACATCTTTGTTCCTCCTACACATTGTGTGGCTCCATTCCTATTCAACCTTCAAGTCTCAGTTTTGCTGTTGCTCTGGTGGAAATCCTTCCTGTAAACTTCGAGTCTGGGTCTGGTTCCTCTCAGTGCTCTGGGCTTACTTCTACTATGCTTTGACAGGCAATTTTGAAGAAGTCTGTTTGTCTATCCACCCTGTGAGCACTCTCCCTGTCTGTACCACACACACACGTACACATTTAGACCCACATACTTTGGAACAGACATGCTTATTTAGATACATACATACTAGCACACATATACACACAGGCTATGAGTATCTTCAGGACCACAACAATATTCACTGTTCAATGTTCACCAAGATCCTTGATCACAGTAAGTGGTCAATAAATAGTTGCTGAATAAATGTTAAATGAGGAATGATGTGCCAGACTATGCACTTCTTATGGTCCACTGCTGTTAAACATTTGATCAGGAATTTTCCATTTTTTTTTATTCTAGCTGAGAATCCACTGATAACAATTGGGGCTTTGAAGTCCAATTACTTCTCCCAGTTCCCAAAATACACCCAATCAGATAAAGTTTGAGCTGTCAAGAGCAAGGCAATGTCATCCTCTGAATAGTTTCTATCAGAGACTCAAGCAAATGAAAACAGTTCCTACTCTTGAGCAAACACTGTTTGCATTGAGAGTGGGCTAACAAGAGCATAGATAGATTAGCATATACCAACAAGGGAAGCATCATAATAATGTTAACTGTCCAAGATCAACCCACAATACAGATATATGCAACAAAATAAAATAAAATAGCATCATGAACCACATGCAGCAACAAAGACTGAGAAATTTCAACCTCATGAAAAATATAAGTGCAGAAAAAATATATGCATATATGCATACACATGTGTAGATAGATAAGACAGACAGATAGATGTATGGATGGAAAATCTAAAACATAAAGGGGGAAGCCAGACTGTTGTTTTTACTTCTTAAGGCTGACGATTAGATGAGCAAATTTGCCCTATACTGTACTACGTTTTGTTCCGTGAAGGGTAGGGAGTGAGAGGCATTGGGTGAGGTCAGAGATAAAAGCTATACAGAGAATTTGAGTAAGGAAGACAGGTCAAACAGCTCATTCTAGCACTGCGTGCTGGGAAAGGCTTGGTCGCGGGTGTGGGTAGGAAAAGGGATGAAGGCAGCCTGGAGTAAATAGAGAACTAAGCTGATATTAAGACAGGGAAGAGACAGGGGTCAGCGTGAACCACCTGCCCCATCCCTACATATGGCCCAAGCCTTAACCTCAAGAAACCTGCAGTGAAGTGCCTCGGTGCTTTCTAGAATAGGAATTGCAATTCTTTTATTTTCCACAGCCACCAAGACTGTGCCTCAGGACCCAGTACACATTGTGCAAAACAATGATGATGATAATATCACCTGACATTTATATTGTACTTTGCAAAGCAATTTCACACTTCATATCTCACTTGGCCTGTATGTTTGAAGAGATGCTGCTTCCACGCCCCACCTGCAAGGCTTTGGGCTGCCAGGACATCCTTATTCGCTGCAATTCCCACCTCCGAGGCCTTTTTGTAATGTGCTAGACTCACAGGGGCCTTAACAGTGACTCAATCATGCATGGCCTTCCAAAGGCTATATCCCATCACACACCTCAAAGAGTTCCCTGGGGCATATTATCTGGCTGTAAAAGAAGATTTCTTTATTTTCAATAGTTCAGAATTTCCTTCCAATGCTCGTGTTTCTCTCTATGAGATAAATCTAAAGACCCCGGTGACTCAGTGTGGCCCATGGACCGGCAGCATCAGCATCACCTGATCTTGTTAAAACTCAGACTTTCAGGGCCACCCAGCCCTCCCAGGATCTGCATTTTAACAGATCCCCCATGGTCCCAGGGGATTCCTGGGCACACTGAAGGCTGAAAAGCTCTGCTATAATGGCTGCACATACCTAAAAAATGTTGAGTACACAGAGGGAAAATTCTTATGATTTTGCTGATAAATGCAGTATTCATTACAAGCCTTCATCCCGTATATCCTGTTAGCTTTGCTAGGTTACTGAATACTCACTCACTGATATTCTTGATACTTTTAAACACATAGTGAGTTGGGGAGAGTCAGTATCTGGACCTCAAGGAGTGTCCAGAAGTGGGAGTTTTAGGAAAAATCACAGACTACTTTTGCATATTGTTTGAGATAAATACTTAAATCCTGGGTGATCTTGATTAATCTAGTGTTAAAATATCTAGAATTATAACATGTACTCAATGAAAGCCGCTTTATTTTAAACATCCAGAAGACTAGAGATTAGGATGTTCTCTGGTCCACATAGGTTTCACATGATTTATAAATAGACAGAAAGGCCATTGTTTTTATTTGTCAGGGTACATTAAAGTCTACCAAAAGAATTAGGAGGGGGCAGGTGGGCGTGGTGGCTCACGCCTGTAATCCCAGCACTTTGGGAGGTCGAGGCGGGTGGATCACCTGAGGTCAGGAGTTCAGGACCAGCCTGGCCAACATGGTGAAACCCTGTCTCTACTAAAAATTAAAAAATTAGTTGGCCATGGTGGCATGTGCCTGAAATCCTAGCTACTTGGAAGGCTGACGCAGGAGAATAGCTTGAACCTGGGAGGCCGAGGTTGCAGTGAGCCAAGATCGCACCACTACACTCCAGCCTGGGTGGCAGAGCCAGACTCCGTCTGAAAAAAAGAATTAGGAGGGGAGTACTTGAATATCAAGTAACTGATAGAGTAGAAATTCATAATGGCAAAGTTTGAAGTATCCAATGGGGTAATCAAAAAATATTGCCTTCTCCTCTCTACATAATAGACAGTAATTATTAATGGTGGTCAAACCAAGCAGTCTACACAATAGGAAAACACTGATGCCTTGCCTGAAGGTAGAGATTGTTCATTACTCTTCTTTTCCATATCCAAGGTCCTAGCACAGTATTGGACACACAGAACATGATTGTTAAATACTTTTTGAAGTCAAGAACTCAAAGGTCATCTTTCGGAGAGTTTTGCTAATCTGTTCAGGATGAGAAGAACTGACATATTTGAGAAATATTTAGCTGGACATAGCTTCCAAAAGAAAAGAAGCCTCAAACCATGGCCCTAATCTCTTCTCCCATGCCCATCATACTGAGTTTCTAAATATAAAATACCTGAAAACATGCCCAAAAGTGCAGCAGATCAAGAAGCATTTGCTGGGTCAGTGAACACGTGAATTGATTGCTTCAAGTCCTCCACTTGCCTTCCTTGTGGAGTCTCGTTGTCACGGCTCTGGGATGGTTACAGACACAATGCTTAGTCCAGCAGAAGCTACAGCCAAAAGAAGGGCTATACAAAGATAAGCCAAGTGTTGAAAAAATAAGTTCTTATTCTACACAGATTTATTGCTGAGTCAGAACAGAACTTACATTTCTTAATTTTATCTATTTATTTATTTACTTATTTTAGAGACAAGGTCTTACTATGTTTCCCAGGCTAGACTTGTACTCTGAGGCTCAAGTGATCCTCCTGTTTCAGCCTCCCAAGTAACTGGGACTACAGGTGCATGCCACCATGCTCCACTAGAACTCACATCTTTGGAAAAAACTTTCTTGATAAAAACAACAAACTGTCTTTTCAATTATAATATATAATTATTGTAGAAAATACAGCAAAGCATAAGAAGAAATTAAATTTCCTCATACCTATCACTGGGAGATAGCCATGAGTATTATTTGAAGATATTTTCTATTTTTTTTTTTTTTTTTTTTGAGGCAGGGCCTCAGTTTGTTACCCAGTGGCGTGATCTCGGCTCACTGCAACCTCCACCTCCTGGGTTCAAGGGATTCTCGTGCCTCAGCCTCCCAAGTAGCTGGGATTACAGGTGCACGCCACCATGCGTGGCTCATTTTTTTGTATTTTTAGTAGAGACGGGGTTCCACCATGTTGGCCAGGCTGGTCTTGAACTCCTGACCTCAAATGATCTGCCTGCCTTGGCCTCCCAAAGTGCTGGGATTACAGGCATGAGTTACCACGCCCAGCCTTGGACATACTTTCACTTGATCTTTTTTTTCCTGTGCACATATACATTTATAAAATCGAAAGCATTGCATTCCTGATTTTGTGTTTTACCTTTTTCATCAAATACTGTAGCACAAAGTATTTACCATATTAATAAACATTCTCTGAAAATACCATACCGATGACTACACGTATGCACATACACATATAAAATATATATAAACATTCTTCTATTGTTGCTATTCTAAACAACACTCTGATAACTCTCCTTGAATGTAAATCTTGTCCACATTCTGATTATTTTCTTGGGGTAGTTCCCTAGAACACAGAAAAGGCTTTCAAAAGAACAGCAGGACACACGTGCCTTCAAGTTAAGCTAGAGAAAAGCCATGGTTGGGTATCATCTCAGCCCACCTCCGAGGCGCGTGATCCCTTCAGAGACTCGGGCCTCCCCGGGTCCTGGAGGTCTTGGCTGCAGGCCCATCAAACCACTGAGCTTCTCTTTTAAAGTTTCTTAAATTTCCTGGCTTTTAAAAGAGAGAGAACTTCTTCAATATTTGTTCCAAAAGCAAAGGGAAAAAGTGGAGGGGGATGTATATTATTCCTTGAAAGAGAAAGTAATATATTTTTCATCAGTGTGATCTTATCCCACACATCTCTGAAGGACTAGTATTAAAGTCTACTCGAGTTCACAAAATGTGCTTTTTCCTTACAATGACCTTTTGTTAGAGGTATTTGAGGTTTGTTTTTATAAATAATTCTCACTTAAATGAGAATCTCTTTATAAAATTATTTCAGAAAGCAGTTACACTGTATCAAGGGGCAAAAGATTACCTTTACCAGCTGGGCGCGGTGGCTCACGCCTGTAATCCCAGCACTTTGGGAGGCCGAGGCAGGTGGATCATGAGGTCAGGAGTTCGAGACCAGTCTGGCCAACATAGTGAAACCCCGTCTCCACTAAAAATACAAAAAATTAGCCTGATGTGGTGGTGTGCGCCTGTAATCTCAGCTACTTGGGAGGCTGAAGCAGGAGAATTGCATGAACCCAGGAGGTGGAGGTTGCAGTGAGCCGAGATCGTGCCATAGCACTCCAGCCTGGGCAACAGTGTGAGACTCTCTCTAAAAAAAAAATTACCTTTAGCAAAGTTAGAAAATGCGTCTGCCCTTTCTGAAATGAAATAACTTCAACTCCAATTTTAGTAAGAATGCATGAATTAAGTATGTATAGACTTTAATAACAAATACAAATGTATATAGTAGTATATAATGATATACACAGTGGATAGTCATTTGACGTTTACAAAACATTTTCCAACCATGATCAGTTTTGATAGTCATAATAACAGAACATGAAGCATGACTGATATTATTTCAGTTTTGCTGTTGAAAATAATAAGGCCTAAGGTTAAGTAAGCTCCAAGGTCATCTACCTCCATGATTGGTTAGCAGATGACTCCCCTCATCCCTACTGCTACACGGCTTCCCTAAGATCCTTCGTGAACTTGGTAACTGATTAATCAGTCTCAGTTTTAGTTCCATCTTGCAGAATATAAAGGTGACCTTCTCCCCACCCCTCACAGAGATATTATATAAAGACAAAGCAGTCTGAAAATTGAGTACACACACACACAGACAGACACACGCACGCATGTTCATGCATCTCCTATTTACAAAAGGATTGAGGTGGTCGGTAGCCCCAGTAGGGACAGGAATAGTTTCACTAAGAAGGGCAACAACCAATGAAGATTTAAAAATTAAAGTGACAGAATCTCTACCATTTCTTTATTGCATTTTGCATGATATCAAAATGGAAATTTTTTTCTTGTCAATGACTCCTTCAAAAAATAAAAGATGCCGTGCATTGATAAAAATGTGAAATAACAGGTAAAAAAAAACCAAAAAACAAAAAACAAAACCCAAACTAGGTTGCCGTGCAAGAAAGATGAAGAGGAATGGCTCTACAGGTGAAAAGATAAAATACAAACCCAGGGACCCAAGTTTCCAAAGTCCTGCTCTGAAAATAATATGTGTAAACGCTACTGAAGATTTGACTTTTCCCGGACTTCAATTTTTGTTATTTGTAACAAAAAAGCAAACATATTTCAAGGGCTGTTATTCAGAATGTGGTTGGCTTGTATGAGACTGCTTTGTTAAATCACTTCTGTAATTTTACCCAGCAAAATCTTTTAAATAGTAAACCTTGGAGAAAACTAATACAAGGTGAAATATGCTGCAAATATAAAGTGCAATGTAAATGCTTCCTGATGGGGTGATGAAAACACAGATGATGTCTACAAATTGCCAGTCCTGCCTCTGACTCAACCACTAAGGAGCCGGTTTGTCAACTTTAATCTTTCAAAGTACAGATTTTTAAAAAATGAACATGCAACCCCTTCTGACAGATGTTACCTCTCCAAGCAACACCTGATACGTAAGTTTCAAATAATGTGAAGACAAATTTGGCTTCTTAGCTATCAAGTCTGAAATGAACAAGTCCCTCCTCTGATCACTTGCAGCCTCTCTGGAAGGATGGGGCCCCTCCTCCCCGAAGAGCATCTTAATCACGCTCTGCTGAAAGCAAGGCTTGGAGCAGCTTTCTTTTCTGTTTTTTCCAAAGCTATGTTTTATTGTATATATTTATTATTTAAGATGTTTGATATGATGCCAGGCAAGCAAATTAACATATCCATCCTTCCAAAGTTATCTTCTGTCTTTTGTGGGTTTTTTTTTTTTTTTTTTTTTTTTTTTTTTTTTTTTTTTGGTAATAGCACCTAAAATCTACTCTCTGCAGCTTTTTCAAAGGCTTCCAGACTTGGCCACTTCAAAGGATCTTTAGAGAAGAGCACATGCCACAACACCAGGGCTTACATTTTCACCAAGTTTGTCGATTTCTAGGTACGTCTTGATTTAGGTTTCTGAAAGGGAATTCCTTCTTCCTCCCTCCCTTCTACTCTTCCTTCCTTTTGTTTCTTTCAAAAAAGTAAAAAAGAGCAGAGTGATCCAATGGCCTGAGCATTATTTTGTCCTTGCTACTTGATATTGGATCACTGGTGCCCTGAGTGGCTGAAGTGGGTGGTTACCCAATTCTGCTAATCCCTCCCACTTGTATTTGAATAGGGAAAGTTATTTTAATTAGTGCACTTAATGTCAGTCAATAAAGAGAACTAAGCATTCCCCCAAACACTAACACACACCCACACACACACACAGAGTAGTTCTCTTCTAATTCGCCAAGTTGGATTTTCTGGCTAGGTTCTGCTGTTTGTTACAAATCCAGTCTTTTCCTCATCCTCGTGCTCGGATGGGTGGGAGGCGGGGGTGACCTGGCTCCTTCCCACCTGCTTTTCTGTTCTTAGGGCCCCCACCAACCTTGCTGCTGTCTCATAGGTCTTTCCCACCCCCCACCTTGAGATAGAGTCTTGCTCTGTCACCCAGGCTGCAGTACAGTGGTGCCATCTCGGCTCACTGCAACCTCTGCCTCCTAGGTTCAAGAGATTCTCCTGCCTCGGCCTCAGGAGTAGCTGGATTACAGGATTACAGGTGCCTGCCACCACGCCCGGTATTTTTTTGTATTTTTAGTAGAGACAGGGTTTCACCATGTCGGCCAGGCTGATCTCGAACTCCTGACCTCAGGTGATCCGCCCACTTCAGCCTCCCAAAGTACTGGGATTACACACGTGAGCCACTGCATCCAGCCTGTCTCACAGGTCTTAACCTGGCAGAGCAATGGGATCACGTGGGGTGGGGACTTCAAAAAAATTGCCAGCTGCCCAGCTGTGTGACAAGAGACTTTGACTTGAGTGACCCAGGTTCAGGCCTCAACATTCTTCAATGTTTCCCCCAACCGTGGTAAGGAGCAGCCAGAGTTAAGAACCAGGGGCTAATTCTCACGTTCCAGTTCTCTTCTCATCCCACATTTTAGCTCCTCGTGCACCCCAGGGCCTACGAGGACAAGTTACAGAGAGATTTTAAATTAAGAATTCAAGTGGGGTCTACTCTAGTGATGGGATTTTAAACATTTGAGCTGGAGAAGCTTTTGGAATTGGGCTCAAGTCATACTGTGACCCACCAGCATGGGTTGACTGGGATGTAGGATTCAGGTCACCCTGATTCCAGATGTGCTATCAGGCCTGGTGCCGTCACCAACCCTGTTCACTTCTCAGCCACTTCTCCCTGGCAAATATACAGAGGCCTTCAGGAGCCTCCTGGGCCTTGAAGCAGAGTCTGACAGCCACTGGAGGCTGCAGGCACACACACATGCTCCTTCTTGCAGGGCCCGCCCGCCCTACAAGCACTGCCACATTCCCTACTTTACTGGGATTTTAAATCTCCACTCTTCGGCCAGGCACAGTGTTCTGTAATCTCAGCACTTTAGGATGCTGAGGCAGGAGGATCGCTTGAGTTGGAGGCTGCAGTGAGTCATGATGGTGTTACTATACTCCAGCCTGGGCAACAGAGCAAGACCTTATCTCAAACAAAACAAAGCAAAGACACCCAACTTGACTCTTCCAAGAATACAGCATTTCAGGGCACTTGCTCCATCCTCAACATTTCCCCTACCTTCCCCTCACTCCTGTCACTAGAGGGAGGTGCGATGTAGAGAAATGGGAGAAAACAGATAAAAGACCACTGTTTCAGCAGCCACACCCTCTCCTCTATTAATGATCTCTCAGGCTGTTGAAGTAACTCCTAGGAAAGGTTTCTCCATTTAGTTCAACTCCAACTCTTATGAAACCCTAGCACTGGGTACGACCCACCGGAAGCCTTGCCTGGTGGGAGGGGGCTGCTCCAGCATGCCTGTAGCATGTGTGTGGTACATGCACATGTTCATATGTGCATGTGTGTATGGTCTGCATGCATGTGCATGTGTGTGTGCACATGTGTGCACTTGTGTGTGTCTGCTTTGTAGCACACATGCTTTGGTTCTGGCAGGGCCTCTTGTCTTTGATGCAAACTGTACCTAGATTTCTCCTACATCAGCCTCTTCTTGGGTTTCTCCCACACCCCAGTCACCTCAACGTGATCGCAAAGAAAAACTGGTCGGTATAATGGCTGTCCAAGATGTTGCTGGTGACCTTAGATGAAACCCTGAGTGATGCGGTCGTAGGGAAGAGTGAAGTCTCTTGAATCCACTCCATCATCCTCACAGATCAGCTCCCCCATCTTAGGCAGGTCACTGTCTTTAAGCCTCAGTTACTGCTGTGCAAATGGGCATAATAAAAGCTGCTGTGAGAATCAAGTAAAACAATGTACGTAAAGTGTTTAGCAGAGCCCTGGCACTCAGCAAGCACTAAATAAATGTCATGAGCCACAGAGAGACCAATAAACTCTTTAATAGGAGTTTACTTCACCTGCTCACCAGAACAAAGAATGGCCCTTTTTGTACCCCCTTATACTTCCCATCCCTTCCCGTCATTGGGCATCTGTGTGAATGGAATTGCTAGACCTCTAGTTCCTGGGAGGATTTTAAATGCTTTGTGCAAAGGAAACATTCAGGATGACTCCTAGGAAAGATGCCTCCACTTAGTCCAGCTCCAACTGTCATGAAGCCCTTGCATTGAGCATGACCCACCAGAAGCCTTGCTGCGGGGAGGAAGCTGCTCCAGGCCATGCCTCCTTCTCACAATTCTGGATGCCCCCAGCACCCGCCCTGTCCTCGGTGCTCTGTTTCCCTTACTCATTTCTTGCAATGCAGTGAATGGGACAGAGAGAGGGCAGAGTCCCACTCCAACCTGCTTCCTCCCTCCTGGGAGGAGAGGACAACAGGTGGCCGGGCCAGCGTGGATGCTCGGGCTGCCAAGGGGTGTGGCACCTGCAGCTATACACTATCCACAGCTCCATGCTCCTTTGCTCTGCGATCAGCAGGAATTTCATAGTGACTCCCAGGGGCGGGACTAAGGTCAGAGCTTGGGCAACGCTATGGAAATAGCTGCAAGTCAATTAGGGGGATTTTATTCCATGATCTGAATGGGTGTCTTGTGCCTTGAGGAGAGAAATGGAAACCAACCCCCCACACCCCTGTGAGCATCCTCGGCTTTGTTCTCATGACAGTGGAGATGGATCGGTGACTTCCGGGGGTGCTAGGGCCCTCCTGGACTTCCAGTGCGATGCCCAGGAATTTAATGACAGGCTGGGAAGAAAAAGGTCCACTCTGGCAATGCTCCTGTGATTGGGGTCCCCAAACAAACCCAGTCTCTGAAAAATAGTCCATTGACCCCTCTTCTCTCTTCGAAGGCGATTTTAGAGAAACTTCTTGACAGCTAAGTCATCATTTGTCTACAAGGCCCCATTTCAATGATCAGTTGGAAGCTAATGTTTCACAGACCACATGTTTAAATGCTCACCTCCCTCGCTGTTTATGAAAAAGCAGAGCCTGAGATTTCCAAGCGGGCAGGCTCTTCCAGGGGGCCAGGCTGGTGGGGGGTGGGGGCATGGGAGGTCGGCACTCCCTCCTTCAGGAATCTCTGAGCTCGCAGAACCGTCCAGTGCGTGGGTGGTAGAGGGATCAGCTGACGGGGAAGTGCAAGCGTGAAGGCGGCCACCCAAGACTTCAGGTCACTGCTGACCTCCCGTCGGGGCTCAGATCTCAGCACTGGGAGGGCATCTGCTCGCCCTGCCAAAACAAACCAGCCCCTGCAAGGGGCACATTGCACAGGAAGGGGGGCTGGAGGGACAAGGAGCTCCGGGTTTCACTTGAACAGTCTCAAATAACCGGTTTACAATGATGCGGTGTTCTTGGCGTTGCGGGTAACAAAAGGGCTGAGGCCCAACTCCAGATCTGGTGAGCATTCGTGGGCAGCAGCACTGCGGAGTTCTAGAAAGGAGTTGGCCGTGTCTCTGGCCAGCCCTTGCTCTGGTGGTTTTCTACCGACAGGATTCCTAACTGCTATTTGTTGTCTTTAGGCCTGAGAATCCATCTGGTTCTGATTCAGGTGGCCTCAGGCTTGCCTCAGAGGTGAAAAGCGTGTGCACTCAAACTGAATTTCTCACAAATTTCAACCCAGAAGAATCCCAGTCTTCTCACACAAAGACCGTGTGCTTGGGCAGCCCCTGACCCTTAAAGCCTGGCATAAATCAATTTCACCTGTTTGGCTAAATGTGCACATGTTAACCTAATGAAAGTGACCGGTGCAATCAGATAGCTTCTGCACATGTTCTAACTTGGAGGGAATGGGGAGGGGTGCTGACCTCTCCCCGACCTCCTCTGTCCCTGCTCTTCCTGGTGGGGACAGTATTTCTGGGCCCTGGTGGGGTTCTTATGAGTCCTTGGGCCAGTCTCAGCTTGGGTGGTTCCGAATATGTAGAGTCCTACGTCCCAACTGAATAGGATCAGAGGAGAAGGAAGTTTTGTATCTAATTGGGAGGGCGGAGGTGGGTAGGCCTAATGGGAGCCATTCAAATTAAAATTTCCCTGGAGGCTTCAGATGAAAAATGGTTACACTTTTGCCCCTGGCTTCCAAGGTCAAGTCTTGAAAACAGCACTCATATCATCAAGCTGAGTGATGAGGCAATGAGACCCGTCTCTTGGCAGGATATATGGCCAAGCTGAAACACCTGCTTGTTAAGAATATTCCCCGATGAACATTAAATATTGAATATATAAATATTTGATTCAAAAAAAGAAGACTATTTCTATATCTAGATACTGCATGGGCATTTTCAGGAACAGTAATCTGTCATCACAGTTACTTTTCCTTATTGGAAACCATGAGTCAAGGAAGCAAACAGAAGTTGAATCGACTAAAACAGGGATGTGCAAATTATGGCCGGCGGGCCACATTTGGCCTGAAGCCTGTTTTTATGAATAAAGTTTTATTGGAACGCACCCATGCCACTTGTTTGCATCTTGTCCTTGACTGCTTTCTCAACAGCAGTGTTTAGTGGTTGTGGCAGAGACTGCGAAGATGAAAATATTGACTCTCAGGTCCTTTACAAAAAAGTTTCCAGACCGTACTCTAAAATGTTGTGATTCTGTTTTACTTCAGCCAGGGGATGATGTTAGCCTTCTTTTGTAAAGAGTAATCAAAACCCACAACTCCTTCCCAGAGAGCAAAAAGCAGACAGTATCACAAAGAGGGAAGGGGGTGAGCACCTAAGGGAGAACCCCTGGGTGAGGCGGCAGTTCAGAGTCTTCAGCAGCCATTTCATGAATTATTCTTGCACCCAAGTGAAAATGCCCGATTTCCTATTCAGAAAAATAGCAATCTATCCCTAAAGTCAACCACACTAGATAACATCTGGAAAGGACTCAAAATTAGGTAAAAATCTTGAAATTGCCCAGTTTTCAAACACACCCTGGCCTGTTTTTCTCCAGCTTCATCCGTCAGCATCTTGGGAGGGTGGTTGTGTCAGCGAGAGGCTTTAAAGTTTTCCATGTGAAAAAGCAGCTTGAAGTGATACCATCTCCACAGGAAAAACAGATCTGCGCAAGGGTCAGCCATTTGAAGTTCTGATTTCAAGAGGAAAGTAGAAGGAAGTGTGGAAAATAAAGACAGCCTCTGCCTCGGGATGAATGCTGGATTCTTCTGTGACTTGGCCCACGCTGGCCTTCAGCAGACAGAGTGCAGCACGATTCTGGGCTTGCTCTGTAACAAACGGACCACACAAAACAAAGAAGGGCAGTGCTGTGACTGAACACTGTTGCTGTTGATAAGCTCTCCGGGGTACGATTTCAAGGAGGCAGTTAATGGCCTCACTACAAAAGAGTCCCAGGGGTCCCTAAAGCTTGACCCCAAAACTTGAACTCTACCTGAACTGATTTTTTTCTTTTTCTTTCTCCTGTTTTGAGGTTTGAAAACATTTAATCAACTCCCCTCCCAGGACATTTGATTTCTGTGCACTCCTGCACTTCTGGGCTCCATCTGGGGGAAGAAGTGCCAAAACCACCATTCGAAAGGCTGCCCCGAGGTATTTTCAGTCGGACTGGAAGCAGCAGGTAAC
This sequence comes from Homo sapiens, assembly GCF_000001405.40. Taxonomy (NCBI): domain Eukaryota; kingdom Metazoa; phylum Chordata; class Mammalia; order Primates; family Hominidae; genus Homo; species Homo sapiens. The sequence continues at coordinate 2,561,466 of NC_000006.12, forward strand.
GGAAATCTTATGAGACAGTTTGTTCTCAGGAGGTTTTTCTGTCCAGTTTTGCTGACCAAAGCATTCCCCGGGTTCAGATAAACCTTGAATTAGCAAGTGCACTTTGAAACACTGTTTGGTGGTTCTAATTGCAATAAAAGTGCTTGAAAGCTCTACCCCATACCCTTGCATTTGGCCATCCCTGGTTTTGTCCTATGACATAAGTGCTTCCTGGGCTCCCTAAAGTTTTTAGCTTCCCTTCCAGAAACTCTTGACATTTGGTTGAGTAGATCCTCTCAATGCTTCCAATTCAGTCAACAAACACTTATGGAGCAACGACAGTATTCCCGCCGTATGCTTAGAGCTCGGAATGGAGCCTCATATGCCTGAATTCAAGGGACTCAATCTAGCACAAAGGCAGACACACTCTCATGGGAGCTTATAAGTAACATTAACAGCTCAGATTAAGTACAGTGGAAGTACAGAGAGGTAGTGGAGATGTACAAGGAGTTAATTATTGTTTATTTTTCAAGGGACTCAATCTAGCACAAAGGCAGACACACTCTCATGGGAGCTTATAAGTAACATTAACAGCTCGATTAAGTGCAATGGAAGTACAGAGAGGTAGTGGAGATGCACGAGGAGTTAATAATTGTTTATTTTTACAATAATGGATTACAAAGTTCTTTCCCCAAAATGCCAGTTGTTTTAGAGAGTAATTTGTTTTGTTTTCTTTAATGATCTAAATTGATAAACCAGGGAATGGTAGGTAGGTTTCAATGCCGAGTTCATTGAATGGATTGGTGTGTCTCTGCAGAACACCTTGCTGAGGAAGATTCTGAGGTTGTGTTTGGTTTTAACAGGATATGGTGCTGTGATTAGTTGGTTGTCATTGATGCCTTGTGTGGAGGGAGGAACAGCATGCATGCCACAAACGTGCCTAGTCTGGAGTGGATATAGCCCAAGGATGAATCATTAATGCAGAGTTAAAACAGAGCTCAATGCATGGACTTCCTCAGCCCCAACTGTGAACTACAGCAGAATCCCCTTGTGCCAGGGCTCCATCTTACATTGATTTGTGTACCGTGTAGTTCAAAGGCTAGTTCCTGAAATACTAAAAATGCTTAGAGGAAAAGTCAGAGATAATAATACATTAGAACATTGAAGTCCATGTAGACCCCCCAACCTGTGATTTATAAAGGGTCTCTACTGCATTTAGATATTCCATCCCAAGAAACAATAAAAATAAAACCTTCCCACCACTTTGCTATAAGGCTTTGAAAATGACCTATGGCCTATCAGCAGGTATAGACTTTAGGGGATTATCTTCAAACTGTGGATTTACCAAACAAGAAGTGGGAATTTTTGAGTAGAAATTACAGTATCTGCCTAGAGGTGTGGCATATGTGTGCTTGTTGGGAAATGGAATTCCCAGTTAATCCTGGAAGACCGGAGGCCCAGCCAGGCCATCCTGACAGCTGGTTGCCAGGCAGCCTCTGGTGATGATGTACAAGAACATACTTATCACCCCAGGGCTCTGGGGGAAAGTGAGATACCATGACTAGAGTGCTATAAAGCTGTCTGGCTATTTGGGAGTATTATTCTTATTAAATTAAAGTTCTATTAAAAGGAAACATGTTACTATTTAGATTTCTGTCTGCTTGGCAGCGTTTGCTTCATAAATCTTGCAGGAGAAAATTGGCCCACTGGAACTGGATGTTGGATATAGCATTTCTTCAACATCAAGAAAATGGCCACACATTTTTTTAATTGTTTCCCTTGCAAATAATTTTTAAATAGTCTTACAAAAATGTTTTTCTTGCTTCACTCCCCAGTGAGTTAAAAATGCACACCGACATTGCCAGTTGGCATAATGTGTTGTGATTCCAGCAGACAGCAATGGGAATGTATGAAGTGATGGTTGAGGTGAAGGACAGCGGAACTGCTTTTTCTTGCAGCATGCAGTATGCAAAATGATCCTTTTTATTTTTAACTAATTCCTTAAAGCAAAAGCTCTTCCCACCCACGAGTGTTGCCTAATTGGGGGACATGGAAAATGAATGAAGAAACAATCCTCAAACAAGGAGTGTTTGCTGCTCCCATTTCAGCACTAATTAATTACTGTTGTCAGTAAACTGAAAGTGTTCATGGAATTACATTTTCCAGAGCCTTCACCTGGATCTAAAGCTGGATTTGAGGTATGTTGCTCCAGGCTTCAAACGGTGGTGGGGCACAATCACAGGCCATGGGAGCTCCAGATCCACAGCCCTTTGGTGTAAAGGACGATGTGTGTCAGTGTTTGCTTGTGGTTCTGAAATGAGACGCTTTCCTACTTCAATTACATTGTGGTGGCTCAAGCATTACAAGATAAGCCTCAAATAGGAGTGTAGCCTTACCAGAAACGAAAGTATGTGTTTGAGTTTCCAGATTCAATAGTCATATGTTGACACTTTGAACTACGAGCTGTTCCATGTTTGGGGCTTGATAGGCAGAAACTGAAAGAGGCAGAGATTTGGTTCTGAAACACTCCCAACTCCCTCGTAGCCATTTTCTGTTTGTTTTCTTTAAGCCCTGGTCCTCTGCTTTGCCACCTGTAAACCATTCTTTTCCCCACCTTTAAGCCATTCTGTGCTCCAGTCCATAGGGGTGTAGTCCCACAGTAAAAGGTATTGGATGGGGAGTTCTTTCATTCATTGATTTATTCCACAAATACATGAGTAGCTCTTGGATGCTGGGCTCTGTGCTAGGCATTAGGGATGCACACCAATACGGCCCCATTCCCTTGCTGTGCAGAGGAAGAGAGAAACATTAATCAAATGATCACAAGAAAGAATTTGTCATTAAAACTGCAATAAGCATTGTACCATGAAGTAGAGTCATTATCATAGCATATCACTGGGGCGAGGGGCGGGGGGAGGCACATTGCTTGGTTGAAGGAAATGGGTAAAGGGTTAGGAAGTCAGGGAAAACTCTGCTTTAATGATGCTTGGGCCAGTATCAAACAGCAACTAGATGGCTTGAGAAAGGTGGAGCGTTTCCTCATGAGTGGGCTTTGCTGGGTCAGAGGGAGTTCCCAGGATATGGGACTTTCAGTATTGAAAGCAGGACAGTCCCAGGCAAACCTACACATAAGGTTACAGAGCCTGAAAAGACCCCATCACAGAAGGGGGCACGGAGCATTTGAGGAATTGCTAGAGTTGCTGAAAAAACCTGGCAGTACCCAGCCCCAGCTGAGATCCAGTGAGAGACAAGGGGCCAAGTCATGTAGGGCCTTAAAAGTCATCCTCAGGTCTCTATCCTAACAGCAATGGAAAGTGTTTTTTTGTTGCTGTTGCCTTTTTTTTTGAGATGGAGTCTCACCCTGTCACCAGGCTGCAGTGCAGTGGCGCGATTGTGGCTCACTGCAACCTCCACCTCCCGGGTTCAAGCAATTCTTCCTGCCTCAGCCTCCTGAGTAGCTGAGACTACAGGCGCACACCACCACACCCGGTTAATTTTTGTATTTTGAGTAGAGACAGGGTTTCACCATGTTGGCCATGATGGTCTCGATCTCCTCACCTGTCTTGGCCCCCCAAAGTGTTGGGATTACAGGCGTGAGCCACCATGCCTGGCCTGCAAAGTGTTTTAAGCAAATAAATGACAAGATCAGATTTGCCTTTCAAAAAGTTCACCCTAGCTAGAATATGGAGGCCATTACCACACAAAATGCAGACATCTTTTCTTCAAGTAAAGCTGGCTGTGGACCCTTGGTGTAATGTTTGGTAAATGTTTCCACAACTGGCTTTCTGGGGGATTGGTGTTACCAGCCAGTTCCATGTCCGTTCTGCCTGTGCACAGTAAATCAATCACTGTGACACAGGTTTTGCAAAAGAGAAAAGGGTTATTTGCAGGGCCACCAAGTGAGGAAGTAGAAGATAAGGCTTGGGGATTTTTATGGGTTAGGGAAGTGGGGTGTTCTAAGGCTTGGAGAAAGGTGATTGGCAGTGGAGAAAAATGAAGTAACAGGTTCATTCTGGGCAAGCACAGTCAAGGTTCATGGCATTTCATGGGGCATGTGTACAGAAAATGGAAGCATTATCATGATCTGAGGGTGGAGTTTTTGGCTCTCCATCGCTGAAAGGCCACCTCTTTGGGCGTTTGCTCAGGCCCAGTGTAGGGCTGGTGGTCTCAACTGGTGTAAGTTTAACTAAGTTTCTGTAAACAACAGAAGTGACCATAACCATGGTGACCTATGAATGTTAGCTGTAATGTACACAGTGTGTTAGCTGTAATGTACACAGTGAAGGGTAAGTCTCGGTGTTCCCCACTGAGGCCTTGAGCTACTGCGGCCTTCAGCTACTTCAGCTGTGAAATGTGTGAAAACCATCACAGCATTTGTACAGCCTTCTGTGATGCAGGATGTCGACTGGAGAGCAGGACATCAAGACCAATAAGGTGCCCTGAGGTTGCTAAAGTTTCCACTATCTTGCCTCAAATATTGAAATTTTTTGAAATTCCAACCAATATATTAAAAACAAAGCAAAACCCATAAAACCTTAGACTCAGAATGCTGTGTGTGTCCTCATAGCTGGGTTATATGCCTGTGCCCTTGCAAAGAAGACAGGCATGCATCATTTTAACCCTGAATACCCACAGCAATAGAAACTCAGACACAGTTCAAGGAGATTTGCGTTTATCCAGAGTGGGGAATATTTCTTATTCATTACAGTGCCTGAGCTCAGAGTCAGGTCCCAGATAGAAGTTAAAAAGATAATAGATAGATAGATGATTGATAGATAGATAGATAGATAGATAGATAGATAGATAGATAGATGATAGATAGCCAGATAAAAATTAAAAAGATGATAGATGGATAGATAATACATAGATGATAGACAGATAGATAGATATAGACAGAGATAGATGATAGATAGATAGATAATAGATAGATAGAGGATAGATAAATGATAGATAGGTATTTGTTATCTTGCCTTAAAAGGTCTTTATGATTAACTTTGTAATCATCTATCCACTAAAAGCTGTCTTATTTGCTGACCTTGAATATAAACAAGAGTTAACCTTTTCAGAAAAGGGATAGCTTACTAACTTTTAAAAAATTTTAAATAAACTTTTCATTATAGAGTAGATTTAAATGTACAGAAAAGTTCTGAAGGTAGTACAGAGTTTCCATACGCTTCACACCCAGTTTTCCTTTCATTAACATCTTATATTTGTCTGGTACATTTGCCACAATCAATGAACCAATGTTGATACATTATTCTTTATTAAGGTTCATAGTTTACTCAGATTTCCTTCATTTTTACCTAGTGTCCTTTTTCTCTTCCAGAGTCCCATGCAGGATGCCATGTTGTAGCCATTGGTCACGTCTCCTTAGTCTCCTCTTGACTGTGACAGTGTCTCTGGCTTTCCTTATTTTAGATAACCTTGACTGTTTTGAGGAGTACTGCTCAGACACTTTGTAGAAAATCCCTCAGTTGGGATCAGTCTGACACTTTCCTCCTTATTGGATTGGGTAACCCCAGTGTTTTGAGGAGGAAGACTGCAAAGTGCCATTCTCATCACACCCTATCAAGGGTACATAGTATCAACATGGCTTTTCACCGTCATGTTGACTCTTACTCCTGGCTAATGTGTTGGTCAGGCTTCTACACTGTAAAGTTGCTCTATTTTTCCCCATTCAATACTGTACGCTTTGGAAGGAAGTCCCTATGCACAGCCCATGCTTAAGGAGAGAAGAGCTGCGCCCTCTCTCTCCTTGAGGGCAGTGTCTACATGAACTATTTGGAATTCCTTTGCATAGATTTGCCTCTTCCCTCTCAATTATTTACTTATTCAATCATTTATCTATATCACTTGGACTCATGAATACTTATTTTACACTTTGGGCTCTAACCCAGTACTATTTCATTTATTTTGTTGCTCAAATTGTTCCAGCTTTGGGCACTGGAGTTCTTTCAGTTGGTTTCTGAATCCTTTTGACATATTCCTATCATTGGGGATTTTATTTCTGCACACTTCTCTACTTTCTGGCACTATAGTTGCCCCAGGATCATCTTGTGTATTTCCTACCTTAGTCCTAGAATCAGCCATTTCTCCAAGGTGCCCTGTTTCCTTTTGTTGGAGATAGAATCAGCCATTTCTCCAAGGTGCCCTGTTTCCTTTTGTTGGAGAACGGTGTTAGACACCAAGATCTGGGTGCTAGGGGTGCTCCTTGTTCCTGGGATATCATTGCTTCCAGGCCTTCTCAGCTAACAGAGCAAGGAAATATATATGTGTGTGGTAACCTATGTATATGGACATATCCATAAATATTTATCTATGTATCTATCTGTATCTATATTAAGCAAGACATGTGTTCATAGCAATGTCTCCAACTGCAATCTATCACCAAATAGATCATTCTAACTTCTTTCCCTTGCTTGTCTATAACTTCTTACTCCAAGAGTTAGAAATCTACCGACCATCTGTCATGTATTTTCTTAATTGTTCAGTTCCAGAATATGTGTGTAGTGGTTTTATAATTGTTAACACTTTCCTTCACAAACAACTTTATACCTTCACAAAACTTTATACCATACTTTCATGAGAACAACTTTACAGTACAGTGCACACATTCAGCTCATTTTTGCCCTTAGTCAAACATCCGCCACTCATTTTCAAAGTTACTGGTGTCAGCATCTTTTTCCTCCAACCCCCTCCATGAGGGTGTTTCATACCTTTGTAATATAGTTAGATTCTTTTGATGCAATCTGCATTCCATTCTAGGATCCCCCAACCTAATAAATGATTATTTTAAAAATTGCATACACTAAGGTTCACTCTTGCTGCTGTAAAATTCAATGTCTTGACAAATACATAGTGTCATTGTCCACCAGAATAATTTCACCACCCTAAAAAAAATTCCCTGTTTCACAGACTTAACCCTCTCTCCACCCTAAACCACTGATCTGTTTGCCATCTCTGTAGTTTCGTCTTTCCCAGAATGTCGTATTTATATATGGGGAATTGTGCAGTATGTAACCTTTTAAGATTAGCTTCTTTCACTTAGACATATGCATTGAATGTTCTTCCATGGCCTTTAAGCTTGATAGCTTATTCTTTTTGATCACTGAATGGCATTCTATCCTATGGATGCTTTACAGTTTTTCAAATCACCTACTGAAAGGTATCTTGCTTCCTTCAACTTTGAGGCAATCATAAATAAAGCTTCTATAATAATTTATGGGTAGGTTTTGGTGTGGACATAAGTTTTCATATCAATTGGATAACTACTAGGAGTACAATTGCTGGATCATATGGTAAGATTACGTTTAATTTTGTAAGAAACTGCCCAACTGTCCTCCAAAGTAACTGTATCGTTTTGCATTCTCACAAGCAATAAATGAGTCTCCTTTGCTCTACATCTTCACCAGCAATTGCTATTGTCAGTGTTTTAGATTTTAGCCATTTTTATGGCCTCCCAAAGTGCTGGGATTACAGGCGTGAGCCACTGCGCCTGGCCTTTTGCCCATTTTTATATTGGGTTGTTTATTTTATATTTTTGAGTTTTAACAGTTCTTTATATTTTGGATACAAGTCCTTTATCAGATATATATTTGACATGAATTTTCTCCCAGCCAGTGGCTTATCTTTCCATTCTCTTAAGAGTGCCTTTTGCAGAATAAAATTTAATTTTAATAAAGTTCAACTTATCTACTTTTTTCTTTCATGGATCATGCTTTTGATATTGTTTCAATATTTTTCTGAAAACTCATCACCAATCCAAGGTCACATAGATTTTCTTGTATATTTTCTAAGTTTTATAATTTTGCAGTATTTAACTTAGGCCTATGATTCATTTTGAATTAACTTTTGTATAAGGTGTAAAGTCTATTTTTATTCTTTGTTTGTTATGCATATGTACATACAAGTGTTCCAGCATCATTTGTTAAAGAGACTATTCTTTTGCCAGTGAAGTGACTTTGCCCCTGAATTTTTTTTTTTTGTTTTAAAAATCATTTTACTCTATGTATTAGTCCACTTTCATGCTGCTAATAAAGACATAACTGAGACTGGGTAGTTTATAAAGAAAAAGAGGTTTAATGGACTCACAGTTCCCCATGGCTGGGGAGGCCTCACAATCATGGCAGAAGGCAAAGGAGGAGCAAAGGCACATCTTACATGGCAGCAGGCAAGAGCAAATGAGTGCCAGCAGGGGAAACGCCAGACACTTACTTATACAACTATCAGATCTTGTGAGAACTCACTCACTATCATGAGAATGGCATGGGGGAAACTGCCCTCATGATTCAATTATCTCCATCTGGCTCCACCCTTGACACATGGGGATTATTACAATTCAAGGTGAGATTTGGGTGGGGACACAGAACCAAACTGTATCACTGTATCTGGGGAGCTCTGTTTCTGGATTCTGTATTCTATCCCATTGATATACATGTCTATTCTTTGGCTAGTATCATGCTGCTTTGATTACTGTAGTTTTATAGTAAGTCTTGAAATTGGAATGTTGAGTCCTCCAACTTTGATCTTCTTTTGTTTTGCATTGGCTATTCTAGATCTTCTGTTTTCCATATGAATTTTAGAAGCAGTTTGCCAATATCGATAGAATAGCTCACTGAGATTTTCATTGGGATTGGGATTGCATTTAATCTATAGATCAAGTTGTGAAGAATTTACATTTCAACAATATTGAGTTTTCCAGTCCATGAATATGGAATATTTTCCTATTTATTAGATCTTCTTTGATTTCTTTCACCGTTGTTTGCAGTTTCATACATAGAGATCAGGTACATATTTTGTTAGATTTATACCTAAGTATTTCATTTTTTGGTGTTATTAAGGGGCATTGTTTTCTTATTTTCAGTTCCCAATTGCTTGTTACAGAGAAGTTGCCAAGAAGAATATGATTTTTTTATCTTTGTTTTTTTGTCAGCAATCTTGCTATATTTGTTTAATAGATACTAGTCCCTTGTCAAATATGTGGTTTTCAAATATTTTTTCCTGGTCTATAGCTTGTCTTTTCATTCTCTTAAAACTTTCACATAGCAAAAGTTTTTAGTTTTGATGAAATCCAATTTATCACTTTTTTCTTTTATGAATCATGTTTTTCATGTCAAGTCTAATAACTCTTTACCTAGCCCTAGTTCGCAAAGATTTCCTCCTATTTTTTTCAAAAAGTGTCATAATTTTTAATTTTAATTTAAGAGCATGATCCATTTTGATTAATTTTTATATAAATTTAATAAGGGTTAGTTTAAGGGGTTTCTTTTTTTTTTGCCTATATATGTCCACTTGTCTACTATTTGTTGAAAAGGCTATACTTTCCCCATTGAATTGCTTTTGTACCTTTGTCAAAAGTCAATCGGGCATATTTGTGTGCATCAATTTTTGTGTTCTCTATTCTGTTTCATTGATCTATATATGCCTATCCCTCCCCCAATGCCACACAGTCTTAGCTATGTAAGGAATCCTGAAATTGGGTAGACTAATTTCTTTCAATCAATCTAAATTGGGTAGACTAAATTCTTTCAAGAATTTCATCTCTTTTTAAAAATGTTTTTGGCTATTCTAGTTTTTTTGCTTTTTCATATAAATGTAGAATAAGCTTATCTATAGCTACAAAAAAAAATCTTGTTGAGATTTTGGTAGGAATCTCATTAAACCTGTTTACTAGTTTCCTATTACTGCTTTAACAAATTCTCACAGACTTACTGGCTTAAAACAACGAGTTTATTCTCTTACAGTTCTGGTGGCGAGAAGTCTTCAGACATATTGGACTGAAGTTAAGGTATGGACAGGGCTGGTTTATTTTGGAGGCTCTGAGGGAAGAATCTGTTTTCTTGCCTCTTCTGGTTTCTAGTGGCCGTCTGCATGGCTTGGCTTAGGACTCCTTCCTCCATCTTCAAAGTCCATTGCTCCAACCTTTTGCTTCATTTTCACCTCCCACTTGCACTTCTGCGTCAACTATCCCTCTGGTTCCCTCTTATAAGGACACTTGTGATTACATTTTAGACGCCCAAAATAATCTAGGATAGTCTCCCAACCTCAACATCCTTAGCTTAATCACAAGTGCACAGTTCCGTTTTTTTGTTTTTTGTTTTCTGAAACAGAGTTTCCCTCTTGTTGCCCAGGCTGGAGTGCAATGTGCAATCTCGGCTCACTACAACCTCTGCCTCCACGGTTCAAGTGATTCTCCTGCCTCACCCTCCCAAGTAGCTGGGATTACAGACATGTGCCACTATGCCTGGCTAAATTTTTGTATGTTTAGTAGAGACGGGGTTTCACCATGTTGGACAGTCTGATCTCGAACTCCTGATCTCAGGTGATCGGCCCACCTCGGCCTCCCAAAGTGCTGGGATTACAGATGTGAGTTACCATGCCCAGCCCAGTTCCTTTATATAAGATAGCATTCAGAGGTTCCAAGGATTATGACCTGAATATATTCACAGATTTTACTCCTTCCAGGGATTATGACCTGAATATATTCACAGATTTTACTCAATCTACTATAAACTGTGTATCAGTGTGGGGAGAATTGACATTTTAATTATTTTAGCTCTTCCAATTCATAAACATGGTATATCTCTCCATTTATTTAGGTCTTCTTTGACTTCTTTTGTTAGCATTTTGTAGTTTTCAGCATGCAAGTTCTATATATTTTGTTGTATTTACCCTAAAGTGTTTCCTGCTTGTTAGTGATTATAACTGTATTGTATTTTTAATTGAGGTGTCCACATTTTCATGGCTAGAATATATAAATACACTTGATTTTCATACATTGGTTTGTCTTCTATCCTGTAACCTTGCAGAGCTTGCTTATTAGCTAAATAGTTTATTAATATGATTAGTTTAGGAGTTTTTGTGGATTTTGGGGGGATTTTCTACATAGATCATCATATTATCTACAAATAGGAACAGTTTTATTTCGTCACCTCTACTCTGTACGCCTTTCATTTTATTTTCTCGCCTTATTGCATTGAATACAATTTCCACTACTGTGTTAAATGGGAGTTGAGAGATGGGACATTCTTGCCTTGTTCTTAATCTTAGAAAGAAAACATTCAGGTGGGGCACAGTGGCTTATGCCTATAATCCCAGCACTTTGGGAGGCAGAGGCAGGTGGATCACCTGAGGTCAGGAGTTCAAGACCAGCCTGGCCAATGTGGTGAAACCCCATCTCCACTAAAATACAAAAATTAGCTAGGCCTGGTGTTGGGCCCCTGTAATCCCAGCTACTTGGGAGTCAGAGCAGGAGAATCACTTCAACTCAGGAGGCGGAGATTGCAGTGAGCCAAGATGGAGCCGCTGCACACCAGCCTGGTCAATAAAAAAAAAAAAAAAGTAAGAAAACATTCACTATTTCACTATTAAGTATATTGTTAGCTGTAGGGTTTCTGTAGATGCTCTTTATCAAGTAGAAATTATCCTCTATTTGCATTTTTCTGAGAGTTTTTGTTATGATTCAGTTTTGAATTTTTAGAAAGTATTTTCTTCACCAATTGATTTAATAGTTTTTTTTAAGCATATTAGTATGGTAGGTTACATTCATTGATTTTGAAATATTTAAGCAGCTTTACTTTACTGAAGTATACTTTACTTGCTCATGGCATATATTTTTATGTATTGCCAAATTCTATTTGCTAATATTTTGATAAGATGTTTTGCATCTATATGGGTCTGTATTTTTCTTTTTTTGTACTGCCTTTTTCTGTTTTTTTTTTTGTACCAGAATAATTCTAGCTTCATAAGATGAATTGAAAAGTATTCCCTTTTCTTCTATTTTTTGAAAGAGATTGCATAGAGTTAGTGTTAATTCTTTAAACATTTGGTGTAATTTTTCAGCGAAACCACCTGGGCCTTGAGATTTTATCTTTGGGGTGTTTTAAAATTATTAATTCAATTCCTTTATAGTTAAATGGATATTTAATGATCTATTTATTTTGAATGAGTGGTGGTAGTTTGTGCTTTTCAGTAAGTTGATCCATTCATTTAAGTTGTCAGATTTATTTATTTTAGTATCACCTCACTATCCTTTTGATAGCTGTAAGTTCTCTAGTGATCTTTCATGCCATTTCCGGCATTGGCAAATTGTGTCCACTCTCTTTTTTCTTTGTCAGTCTTCATACCAGCTTGTCAATTTTATCGAACATTTCAAAGAACCATCCTTTAGTTTCATTGATTTTCTCTCTTTTCTTTTCAATTTTATTGATTGGTGCTCTGATCTTTATTATTTCTTTTTTTTCCTGGTTTTGTGTTAATTTTTCTCTTCTTTTCCTAGATTCCTGCGGTGGGAGATTAGACTATTGATTTCAGGCTTTTTCTCTGTTCTAATGTAAGCACTTAGTAATACGCATTTCCTTGTCAGCGCTATTTTAGTTGTATGCCACAAATATTTTTACATTGTATTTTCACTTTCGTTCAGTTTAATGCATTTTTTTTAATTCCCTGGAGACTTTCTCTGTTATCTGTGGTTATTTAGACGTGTATTGTCTAGTTACCAAATGTTTGGAGATTTTCCTGTTATCTTTCTGTTACTAATTTCTAATTTGATTTCATTTTAGTCAGAAGTACACTCGGTACAATTTAAAATATTTTTAAAATTTTGAGATTTGTTTTATAGCCCAGGATATAGTCTATCTTAGTATATTTCTGTGGATGCTTGAGGAAAATATATATTGTGCTATTTGGGGGCAGAGTGTTCTATAAATGTCAATTCAATCCTATTGGTTGATGACGTTATTGAGGTTTTCTGTATCCTTGCCAGTTTTCTGTCTTGTTATTCTGTCAATTATTGAAGGAAGTGTTGTGGAAGTTTCCAATTATAATTACAGATTTATATATTTGTCTTCATTCTATGTATTTTTTCCTTCACATATTTGACATATTTCTCTATTGTTTGGTGCATACCTTAGGATTGCTATGTCTTCTTGGTGGACTGAGCTTTTAATCATTATGTAATATCTCTGTTTCTGGTAGTTTGCCTTGCTTTGAAATCTACTTTATCTGATGTTACTATATAGCTAATAGTGATTTATTTTGATTTATATTTGTATAATATATTCTTTATTTTAATTTTAATCTGCCTCTATTGTTATAGCTGAAGTGAGTTTCTTTTAGACAGCACATATAGCAATTTTTAAAATTCAATCTGCCAATCTGTGTCTTTTAATTGAGTATTTAGGCCTTTACATTTAGTGTAATTTTTGCCATGTTAGGGCTTTAGTCTACTTTTTTGTTTTTGTTTTCTGTTTACTCTGTTTTTTATTTGTTTTCTTTTCCCGCTTTCCTGTCGGGCTACTTGAACATTTTTTAGAATTCCATTTTGATTCATCTATCATATTTTTGAGTGTATTTCTTTGTTTAGCTTTTTCAGTGATTATTCTAGGCATTAGATTATATATACATAACATCACAGTGTACTACATATTGCCAGTTTAAGTAAAGTGCAGAAATCTTACTTCCCTTATGTCCTTTTATCTTCCCCCATTTAATAACTATCTTAAATGTTTCTTCTAATAACTATATCAGTCATCAAACATAATTTAGGAAACTTAAGAAAAGAAAATGTATTTTATTTATCACATTTTTCTCTTTCCATTGTTCTTTCTTCCTTTCTGATATTTCAAGATTCTGTTTTCTTTTTTTAAGGATTTCCTTACTTGTTGGAGAATCTCCTTTAGCCATTCTTTTAGAGCAGGTATGATGGCAGCAAATTATCTTTATTTTTCTTCATCTGAAAATATCTTTATTTTTCCTTCATACCTTAACATTTTCATCAGATATAAGATTCTGGGCTAATAGTTCTTCTATTTCAGCCTTTGAAAAATGTTGTGCCGCTTCCTTCTTGCATCCATGGTTTCTGGTGAAAAATCTACTGACATTTGAATCACTTTTCCTCTATAGGCCAGATGTCACTCCTCTCTTGCTGCTTGTAAGAGTTTTGTTTTGTTTTTAGAATGATGACGTGATGTGTCTTGGTGTGGATTCCTTCGGGTATATCCAGTTGAGGGTTTGCTTGACTTCCTCAATCTGTTAGTTTATGTCTTTGGCTAAATTTGGGGAATTTTGAATCATTATTTCTTCGAGTACTTTTTCAGCACCACTTTCTTTGTCTTCTCCCTGTGGGACTCTGATGACCCTGATGTCATGTCTTTTATTATAGTCCTCCAAGTTTGTGAGCGTCTGTTTATTTATTTATTTTTCTAGCCTGTTTTCTTTTAGTTGTTCAGGTTGGGGAACTTCTGTTCTAACTTCAACTACTGATTTTTTCCTTTGTCTCCTCCATTCTGGTGTTGAGCCCATTCACTGAGTTTTTAATTTTTGGTTATTGCATTATTTCAACCTTCAAATTTCCATTTGGTTCTTCTTTATGCCTTCTTTTTTGTGTAAACTTTCTATTTCTTTTCTGAAACTTTTATTTTTTTTTCTTTTGTTTCAAATTTGTTTATATTTGCTAGTGAAGCTTTTTTTGTCATGGCTGCTTTAAAACCTTTTCGGATAATTCTAACATCTTTCTAAGGTTGGTGTGGGTGTCTATTGATTGTCCTTTTTCATTCAGACTGTGAGTTTCCTGGTTCTTAGTATGATGAGTAATTTTTTTATTGAAGCCTGGACATTTTTGGGCATATAAAACCCTGGATCTTTTTTTTTTTTTTTTTTTGAGATGGCGTTTCGCTTATGTTTCCCAGGCTGAAGTGCAATGGCGCGACCTTGGCTCACTGCAACCTCCGCCTCCCAGGTTCAAGCGATTCTCCTGCCTCAGCCTCCCGAGTAGCTGGGATTACAGGCATGTGCCACCACACCCAGCTAATTTTGAATTTTTAGTAGAAACAGGGTTTCTCCGTGTTGGTCAGGCTGGTCTCAAACTCCCGACCTCAGGTGATCCACCTGCCTCGGCCTCCCAAAGTGCTGGGATTACAGGCATGAGCCACCACACCTGGCCTAAAACCCTGGACCTTATTTAAACTTTCTGTTTTGCTGGCTTTCTGTGGCAATGCTCCAACAGGGGAAAAAGAGGGGCACTACTTATTACTGATTGGTGGGGGCAGAAGTCCAAGTTCTCTGCATGATGTCCAATGACACTATGAGAATGGGGAGAGGCAGGAGGCTCATTACTCACTATCGTGGAAGTCCCAGCTCCCAACTCAGTCCTCTCTGACACCACCCCAGTCGGGGTTTAGGGCTCATTGCAGCCTTGCAAGAGTGAAGTCTGGGCATCCTATCTGGCCTTTATTTGTGTTGGGCGGTGGGGTGGGGGTTGGGGGGCAAAGTTTTTTCTGTGCTGTTTGCCTGGAATACAGCAGTCATTGTCTAAAAGTATCCTGTTTTGCTAATCTGCCCTTTTCCTGGTCCTTTAGCTAGAGAGAGCAGGCTTTTGTTGGGGCTTTTTTTTTTGTTTTTTTTTTTTCCTGTGCCTGGGTTTCTGCCTTCTTCAGCTCCAAGACAGGGATATATGAGAGAAGAAGATAACCCAGCGAACTCACCGCTGTTTTTTCCTTAGCCCGTCATGTCCCCAGCTGGTCTGCCTTCTTCTCCATCTTTCAGAGTCTTCTTATATTTGTTTTGTAGATAATGTGCATGGTCTTTAGTTGTACTTAGAGGGTGGAAAAGTGGATGACTTAGGGAAAAGTGGATGACTCTATCTTCCTGGAAGCAGAAGTCCTAGTGAGTAATTTTTGTCCCATTATTTATTTTATGATTATAAAAGATATACCTATTCTTCAGAGAAAACTTAAAAATTGTAGAGAACATTTTTAAAAATCATCTATGATTCCTATGTTCACTGCTAGCATTTTCTTTTATTTCTAGTTTTTAAAAATTCATGTATAAATTGTAGATCTCTTTTCCTAAAACTAAGGATTACTGGCAATTTTCATTTGTATATTATATTAACATATAACATACTATGAGTATTTTTCTTACAAATATTCTCTGAAAACATAGTTTTGGTAACTGCGTACTATTACCATTATGACTAGATTTAACCACTGCCCTATATTGGACATTGTTTGTAATTGGAAATTACATTGGAAATAGTTTGTAATTCTCTGATTCTCTAAATAATGTTATAATAATAAATATGCTTATAGATATATCTGGATTGCAGTTCAGATTATTTCCCCAGGACAGACTTGTAGAAAGTAAAAAGACTGGTGCCATTTTAGATTTCCTTACGCACACTGCCAGTGTGATTTCTACAAAGGCCCAGCGTAGGTACTATCCACCAGCGCCAACTCTGAGTGTTATCACTAAAATCTGCGTGGATAAGGACTTCTCAGGAAGACTAAAGCCACTTTGATTTTATGGAATAATAGAATTTGAGAGCTTGGGAGGACAGTAGAAGTCACAGTACCTACCACTATGATTTTATTTACTTATTCATATTTTAAAGATGGGATCTTGCTCTGTTGCCCAGGTGGAGCACAGTGGCATGATCATAGCTCACTGCAGCCTCAACCTCCTGGGCTCAAGGGATCCTCCCACCTCAGCCTCCTAAGTTGCTGGGACTACAGGCATGTACCACCACATCTGGCTAATGCTGTGTTTTTATAGATGAGAAGAAAAGTAACCAGAGAGGTACATGTAAAGGAACCAAGATTTTTCTAGCCTGGAGCCTTGCTGTGGCCTTGAAGAGGGCGGACACCACCTAGCCTTGGAGCACTACCTGAATCCTTGCTTCCCCTGATTAAAAAAAGAAGAAAGAAAGAAAGAAAGAAAGAAGAAAGAAAGAAAGAAAGAAAGAAAGAAAGAAAGAAAGAAAGAAAGAAAGAAAGAAAGAAAAAGCAGGTCCTATATTTGTAACTAACCTGGCAGAAGGAGTCACAGTACTGTGAGAAGGGGAGGGTGATACTGCCTTTGCACCACCAAGAAACCTGAAGATCTGTTTCATAAAGCAGTTATAACCTGTGACAAATTCTTAATATTAGCCTCACTTCCCCATTCTTTTGAAACGCACTTGAAAAGGGGGTTAGGGAGTAGTGGAGGGATCCCGGGATTTGGGTTAGAGTTCTCTCTTCTACTCCTACAGGGACAAGACACAGATCCCTTCTGAGCTCCGAGTTTTACCTTTACAAGGAGAAGGCTGGCTGAGATGCCTCTGGGGCTGCCTCCAGCTTCAGGGACCTGTTGTCCTGCTGTGGTTAGAAGAACCCAGCAGCCCACACCATTGCTGTGTGGCTCCACAAAGCCACACGGCCTCCTCCATGCCCTGGTCCACAGGGCCTCACCCACAGAGCCCATACCTGCTCTCACCTCTAACCCCAGGGCACATCAAACCTACCTGTTGACAAAATTACAACCCATTTAGCTGTAGGTCTCATTGGCTTTTATGCATGATTCATGAACCAGGGCAGCCTCCCTTCTATTAAACAGAATGAGAGATCTCACTGGGCAAGAGCAGAACAGTGGGTTTGGTAAGGTGGGAACAGGGAAACAAGAAAAAAGCTGACTGGTTAGCATGAGGATACTTGTTTTGGAAGGTTTGGAGAACGTAACTTCCTTATTATGCTGACTCAGTAGACTGGAATCTCCTGTTTTCAGGAAAAACTGGTCTGTTTTGGGCCCTATTTGCTTCCTTCAAGTTTCAGTTTGATGATGTGACATTTGGCATGAGTGATTCCATTTTGATTTGGCCTGGTCTGTTGGGGCCTAGGGCAGGAGTTCAGTCTGAAGCGGTGGACTCTCATCATCTTTGTTTAATGCCAGGTTTCTCTAACCCATTTTCAGAGGTGGAATCACAGCCTTTGAAGGGACCAGAGGGGTACTGGGTGATCTTGGAGCACAGGAAGCATATTCCTGGTGTCTCAGGGCCCGGTGACTTTCATGGAGCCCTCCGGGCCCCAGTGGGCTGCGCACTGATGGATGAAGTGTTTCTGACAGGGCCCACGTCCAGTCAGTGCATTCGCAGCTCCCACCGCCGCAGGGCCTGGGTCCCGGCCTCTGGCCAGTGTGCCTGTGCGTGACACATTGCAGCCGCGTTTTCCAAGTGAGTTCAGTGGTACTGACAGGATCCACATTTCCAGTCCGCAGCCAGCCACACACACAATATTATCTGTGAATGGAAACCGTCACTGTAGATTTCTGCTTGGGTTTTGGCAGCTGCCCCTGATGGGAGAGTGCATGTCACAGACCTAACTGAAGTCAGAGTCCCCTCTGCACAGACAGCAGGGCTTGGACAGACCATGAGTAATGAGCCACGTTCTCAAAGCTCCCGGGAGTCTGCACTTCCTGCAGAGAGACATTCTGGTGAGGAATCAGCAACGCTTTCCATGGGGGCAGTTTTACCAAGCCTGTCATGGAGACAGGGCTGTGTAGGCTGGACTAGAAGGGTGCTGGGATTGTGGAAGTGTCTGGATGGTTCTGGAAAAATCTAGTAGCCATATAAAAGGAAAAAAAAAAAAAGGTAGGGTGTGGGAGTGGCAATGTGGAATTTCTTGGAAATAAAGAGAAAGAAAATAACAAGCCTGTTCTCTTGGCCTTGACCTCTCGCTGTACCCCAGGCTACCGACTAGACTGCTCCACCGGCTCTCTGATGTCACCTCAGACTCAACTTATCCAAAACTGAGGTCATCCTCCCCCAGACTGGCTCCTTGTCCTAATTCTGTCAGCAAAACCACATTTCCAGACACCCAGAGCCTGCCTTTGGGGAAGCCTTTGGTTTTTTTTTCCTTCCTATTGAATCTGTCCCCAGCCCTGTTGGTGATTATTGGTCTCCGGGTGTCTCTTTCTCTGACCTTTCCGAGTCATGATTTCAAAGTCATTGCTCACAAAAGTGAACAGAATTAAAGTAACCATAAAAGAAAAGGAATTTCAAAAAGGAGAACTAAACCCAAAATTGGAATAAACTGGAGGATGCCCCATTGCTTCATCCTGCAGACACCAGCCCAGCCCAGGACAGCACCTACACGTCAGCGCCGGTGCCTCCTGAGCCACGGCTGAGCCAAAGCCCACAGTCCACATCGTCTCTCAGGCTTGGAGCCCGCCTGCAGCCTGCCACGTCGAGTCCCATGTTTTGTGGCCACCTTCTGTGCACAAGCCCCTGACCCAACCTTTCCTGCCGTTCACCATGCCTCATTATTATGCTCTCCTCCATCCTCCCACCTGCCTCCTGAAATGCCCTTCCTTTGAGCTGAACTCTGTGAGTCTCTCAAAGCCCAGCTCAGCTGTGCAACTTCCGACTCGTGTGGCTCTTCCTGACTTGCTCCTGCTCTGAGAGTCTGTCGCACCCACAGCAAGGACATGGCCATGGTTACAAGCTCAGGCCCCAGAACCAGAAGTCACCTGTATGCAGTAGCTGTGCGGTTTGGGCCAAGTCACTTAACACTTCAGAGCCTTCATTGTCTTATCTGTAAAATGGGACTAATCATAGTCCCCCAGACTTGTAAGGCTGTAGAGAGAATTGAATAGGATATTGCTCACAATGTGCTTAGTATAGTGCCTGGCAATGAATTAAGAATCATTCAACAAATTCTTGTTGTTGCTCTACTACTTTTTCTTATTCTCCCATTTGAGCTTTTTCCTATTTGTCTGCTTTAATTTGTCTGCTTAATTACATTAAGGCCATCTTATGTACCCCATTAAGTTGTAAGGTCTTGAAGGGCAAAAGCAGTGATATCTTTCTAGTGTGTTCTGCCCTGGTGGGCACCTCCCTACACCAGACACACATGCACGTACACACGGGACACTGCTGGACAAATAACTGGGAGCAGAGTGAATAGCTGTGGGTTGTTAAACTTCTCGGCTATGTATGGAGAGGAGGGAAAAAATGGGGCCTTTGTTATCTCTAAGGAGGAAACATGGGCCCAAGAGAAAGAGGAAACGCTGCCAACCAGGATAGCTAGTGAAAGGGCCTTCCTAGGAGACACAGTTAAATTAAATCAACTGTTAACCTCAAGGAAGGGTAGACTAATGTGATTTGGCTTCAGGGAATTTATAAAATAGGTGACAGAAGAGCTGGTAGGGAAATGACAGCTTCCAATTCAGGATTTCAGACCCCATGTGAGAAGGAATTAAAGGAGTAGCATAAAAGATCTCAAACAGTAGAACTGATGTCAGACATTCGGTGATTTTATTTGATCCAGGAACAAAATAGATAAAGAATCCCTCCATTTTTGAGTCAAAATTCCAAAACCATTTCTCATCAAACAAAACCGAACTAAAAGGTAACGTCGAAGCAGAAACCAATAAAAGAGAATTAAGGACAGGAAAAATGAACCAAAATACTCTAAGATTCTTTTAGTATGTCACGCTAAATTAAAAGACATGCAAAAACAGCCCTCAAATCCCTAACTGGCTTCCCAGTCTGGGAGTTACCAGAGTTTCTGCTTGTCCTATTGTTGTTTTAATCAAGCCCCAGGGCACTGATACTATCTCTTTTGGTTTATTCATTTCTTCCATATTTGTTTTTCCTATCTTTAAAATGCACCATTGTATAGAATCTGGGCATGGCTTCAAAGATTACCCCACAATTCAACAATGGTCTACACTAAAGCCCAAGTCTCCCTCTCTCCTAGACTCCAACCTGTTGGAGACTCAGTCAGCAATTCATATCTCCTCCAGCTCCTTCTCTGTCAGCCACTGGGTTAGATCACAGTGGGTTAAAAACAATTAGAAAGGCACGTGAAAGACCGATGGTTTTGGCTTCCACCAGAGAAGAAGTAAAAGATGCCTCAAAGGAGAGGTCTGTCCACTAAAACGCAAAACAAAATGACAGCAGCAATAAAACAAAACAAATCAAGAATGCTAGAATCGCTCCACACAGTAGATGCTCAACATAGTAGATGTGTGTTTTTCAGCTAAACTTCGATTTTTGGTTTCAGTACCCAATAGAACATCAAGGTTGGTGTGAGATGGAAGTGGGCAGGTTGGCATTCTGGCTTGTACTATTGGTGCAAGTTACCGGTCAGACTGAGCCCACGAGCAGTGTAAGAAATAAAAGTGATTGTTGCAGCGTAGGCTGCTGGGTCACACCTGCCTTTAAAGATATCAGCTTTCAAAACCGTGTTTTCTGCCATTATGATGAGAACTCAGTCACCGGTAGGGGCTGCTGCCACATTCCACTGTGCAGAAATGAGAATCAGATAGGCCACCTTCGTTTGCAATGAAAACCTATGCAGGCAGGTATCCTTTCTTCTCTATGATGTTTTCTTTTTTCATTTCCTTTTTATTAAAAATTTTTTTGATTGACATAATTATACATCTTTATAGTGATGTTTTGATATATATAATGTATAGTGGCAATCAGCATATCCTTTAGGTCAAATATTTATCATCTCTTTTTGTTGGGAACATTCCATATCCTCCTCCTTCTAGCTATTGACACTATCCGTATCATCACTGTTAACTACAGTCATCCTACCGTGCTGAAGAACACTAGAACCTATTCCTCCTATCCAGCTGTTCTTTTGCCAATCCCTCCTTTCCCCTACCCTTCCCAGGCTCTAGTCTCCTGTGTTCTTTTTACTTCTATGAAATCAACTTTTTTTTTTAGCTTCCACATATGAGTGAGAACACGTTGTGTTTAACTTTCTGTTCTGAGCTTATTTCACTTAACGTAATGTCCTCCCTTTCCACACTTATTGCTGCAAATGACAGTATTTCATTCCTCTTTATGACTGGATAGTATTTCATTGTGTATATATAACATACATTTTCTTCATTCATTTGTCTATGTTGAACACTTACATAGTTTCCATATCTTAGCTATTGGGAATAGTGCTGCAATAAACATGGGGGTGCAGATGTCTTAAAAGTGCCGATTTCCTTTCTTTTGATAAATTCCCAGTAGTGGGGTTGCTGAAGCATGTGATAGTTCTATTTGTAGTTTTTTGAGGAGCCTCCATGCTGTTCCCCATAGTGGCTGTACCAGTTTACACTCCCACCAATGGCATACAAGAGTTCCCTTTTCTCTATATACTTAACAATGTTTTTTTTGTTTGTTTGTTTGTTTGTTTGTCTTTTTGTCTTTTTGATAATAGCCATCCTAACTTGGGTGAGATGATACCTAACTGTAGTTTTGACTTGCAATTCCCTGATGATTAGTGATGCTGAACATTTTTTCAAATTTGTTTCCATAGTTATTGGGGCACAGGTGGTATTTGGTTTTATGAATAAGTTCTTTAGTGGTGATTTGTGAGATTTTGGTGCACCCACCACCCACGTATACAATGCACCATATTTGTAGTCTTTTATCCCTCGCCCTCCTCCCACTCTTCCCCTCAAGTCCCCAAAGTCCACTGACTCATTCGTATGCCTTTGCATCCTCATAGCTTAGCTCCCACATATCAGTGAGAACATACGATGTTTGGTTTTCCATTCCTGCATTACATCACTTAGAATAATAGACTCCAGTCTCATCCAGATCACTGCAAATGCTGTTAATTCATACCTGTTTATGGCTACATAGTATTCCATCATATACATATTCCATCATATATATATATATACACACACACACACTTACATACACACACACACACACATCACAGTTTCTTTACCTGCTGGTTGATTGATGGGCATTTGGGTTGGTTCCACAATTTTGCAATTGTGAATTATGCTGCTGTAAACATGCGTGTGCAAGTATCTTTGTCAAATATTGACTTTTCCTCTGGGTAGATACCCAGTAGTGGGATTGCTGGATCAAATGGTAGTTCTACTTTTAGTTCTTTAAGGAATCTCCACACTGTTTCCCACAGTGGCTGTACTAGTTTACATTCCTGCCAGCAGTGTAGAAGTGTTCCTTGTACACCACATCCATGCCAAGGGTCTACCGTTTTTTGATTTTTTGATTATGGACATTCTTGAAAGAGTAAGGTGGTATCGCATTGTAGTTTTGATTTGAGTTTCCCTGATCATTAGTGGTGTTGAGCATTTTTTCATATGTTTGTTAGCCATTTGTATATCTTCTTTTGAGGATTGTCTGTTCATGTCCTTAGCCCACTTTTTGATGGGATTATTTGTTTTTTTTCTTACTGATTTGTTTAAATTCATTGTAAATTCTGGATATTAGTCCTTTGTCAGATGTATAGATTGTGAAGATTTTCTCCCACTCTGTGGGTTGTCTGTTTACTCTGCTGACTGTTCCTTTTGCCGTGCAAAAGCTCTTTAGTTTAATTAGGCCCAGCTATTTATTTTTGTTTTTATTGCATTTGCTTTTGGGTTCTTGGTCATGAAATCCTTGCCTAAGCCAATGTCTAAAAGGTTTTTCCAATGTCACCTTCTAGCACTTTTTATACCTTCAGGTCGTAGGTTTAAATCCTTAATCCATCTTGAGTTGATTTTTGTATAAGGTGAGAGATGAGGATCCAGTTTCATTCTCCTACATGTGGCTAGCCAATTATCCCAGCACCATTTGTTGAAAAGGGTGTCCTTTCCCCACTTTAGGTTTTTGTTTGCTTTGTCGAAGATCAGTTGACTGTAAGTATTTGGGATTATTTTGGATTATTTCTGGGTTCTCTATTCTGTTCCCTTGGTCTATGTGCTTATTTTTATACTACTACCACACTGTTTTGGTGACTATATCTTTATAGCATAGTTTAAAATCAGATAGTGTGATGCCTCAAGATTTGTTCTTTTTGCTTAGTCTTGCTTTGGCTATACAAGTTCTTTTTTGGTTCCATGTGAATTTTATAATTGTTTTTTCTAAGTCTGTGAAGAATGATGATGGTATTTTGGTGGGGATTGCATTGAATTTGTAGACTGCTTTCGGCAGTATAGTCATTTTCACAATATTGATTCTACCCACCCATGAGCATGGGATATGTTTCCATTTGTTTGTGTTGTCTATGATTTCTTTCAGCAGTGTTTTGTAGTTTTTCTTGTAGAGGTCTTTCAACTCCTTTGTCAGGTATATTCCTAAGTATTTTATTTTATTTTATTTTTTGCAACTACTGTAAAAAGGGTTGAGTTCTTGATTTGATTCTCTGCTTGGTTGCTGTTGATGTATAGAAGAGTTACTGATTTGTATACATTAATCTTGTATTGAGAAAGTTGCTGAATTATTTTATCAGTTCTAGGAACTTTCTGGAGGAGTTGTTAGGGTTTTCAAGGTAAATGATCATATCGTCAGCAAACAGTGACAGTTTGACTTCCTCTTTACCGAGTTGGACACCCTTTATTTCTTTCTCTTGTCTGATTGCTTTGACTAGGACTTTCAGTACTATATTGAAGACAAGTGGTGAGAGTAGGCATCCTAGTCTTGTTCCCGTTCTCAGAGGGAATGCTTTGAACTTTTCCCCATTCAGTATTATGTTGGCTATGGGTTTGTCATAGATGGCTTTTATTATGTTAAGGTATGTCCCTTGTATGCCGGTTTTCCTGAGGGTTTTAATGATAAAGCGATGCTGGATTTTGTCGAATGTTTTTCCTGCATCTATTGACATGATCATGTGATTTTTGTTTTTAATTCTGTTTATGTGGTGTATCACATTTATTGACTTGCATACGTTAAACCATCCCTGCATCCCTGGTGTGAAACCCACTTGATCATGGTGGATTATCTTTTTGATATGTTGTTAGATTCAGTTAGCTGGTATTTTGTTAAGGATTTTAGCATCTATGTTCATCAAGGATATCGGTCTGCAGTTTTCTTTTCTGGTTATGTCATTTCCTGGTTTTGGTATTAGGATGATGGGAGCTTCATAGAATGAATTAGGGAGGGTTCCTTCTTTCTCTATCTTGTGGAATAGTGTCAAAAGGATTGGTACCAATTCTTCTTTGAATGTCTGGTAGAATTCTGCTGTGAATCCTTCTGGTCCTGGACTTTTTTTTGTTGGTAATTTTAAAATTACCATTTCAATCTTGCTGCTTGTTATTGGTCTGTTCAGGGTATCCAATTCCTCCTGATTTAAGCTAGGAGGGTTGTATTTTTCCAGGAATTTATCCATCTCCTCTAGGTTTTCTAGTTATGTGCGTAAAGGTGTTCATAGTAGCCTCAAATCATCTTTTGTATTTCAGTGGTGTCAGTTGTAATATCTCCTGTTTCATTTCTTAGTGAGGTTATTTGGATTTTCTCTCTTCTTTTCTTGGTTAATCTTGCTAATGGTCTATCAATTTCATTTATGTTTTCAAAGAAACAGCTTTTTGTTCCATTTATCTTTTGTATTTTTTGTTTGTTTGTTTGTTTCAATTTCATGTAGTTCTGCTCTGATCTTGGTTATTTCCTTTCTTCTGCTGGGTTTGGGTTTGGTTTGTTTTTGTTTCTCTAGTTCCTTGAGATGTGACCTTAGATTGTCTGTTTGTGCTCTTTCAGACGTTTCAATGTAGGCGTTCAGGGCTATGAACTTTCCTCTTAGCACTGCCTTTGCTGAATCCCAGAGCTTTTGATAGGTTGTGTCATTATTGTCATTCAGTTTGAAAAACTTTTTAATTTCCATCTTGATTTCGTTTTTGACCCAGTGCTCTTTCAGGAGCAGGTTATTTAATTTCCATGTATTTGCATGGTTTTGAAAGTTCCTTTTGGAGTTGATTTCCAGTTTTATTCCACTGTGGTCTGAGAGAGTGCTTGATATAATTTCAATTTTCTTAAATTTATTGAGGCTCGTTTTATGGCCTATCATATGGTCTGTCTTGGAGAAAGTTCCATATGCTGTTGAATTGAATGTATATTCTGCAGTTGTTGGATGAAATGTTCATATATATCTGTTAAGTCCATTTGTTCCAAGGTGTAGTTTAAATCCATTGTTTCTTTGTTGACTTTCTGTCTTAATGACCTGTCTAGTGCTGTCAGTGGAATATTGAAGTCCCCCACTGTTATTGTGTTGCTATCTCATTTCTTAGGTCTATTAGTAATCGTTTTATGAATTTGGGAACTCCAGTGTTAAGTGCATATATGTTTAGGATTGTGATATTTTCATGTTGGACAAGGCCTTTTACCATTATATACTGTCCCTCTTTGTCTCTTTTAATTGCTGTTGCTTTAACATTTGTTTTGTCTGATACAAGAATGGTTAACCCTGCTCGCTTTTGGTGTCCCTTTGTATGAATTGCCTTTTTCCACCCTTTTACTTTAAGTTTATGTGAGTCCTTACGTGTTAGGTGAGTTTCCTGAAGGCAGCAGATAGTTGGTTGGTGAGTTCTTATCCATTCTGTGGTTTTGTATCTTTTAAGTGGAGCATTTAGGCCATTTACATTCAATGTTAGTATTGAAATGTGAGCTACCGATGCTTTCATCATGCTCTTTGTGCCTGTATACTTTGGTTTTGTTTTTTGTTTTTGCTTTTTAAAGTGCATTTCTGTTTTGTAGGTGCTGTGTGATTTATGCTTTAAAGAGGTTCTGTTTTGATGTGTTTCCAGGATTTGTTTCCAGATTTAGAGCTCCTTTCAGCAATTCTTATAGCAGTGGTTTGGTAATGGTGAATTCTCTCAGCATTTGTTTGTCTGAAAACAACTGTATCTTTCCTTCATATATGATGCTTAGTTTCACTGGACACAAAATTCTTGGGTGATAAATGTTTTGTTTGAGGAGGCTGAAGATAGGTCCCCAATCCCTTCTAGCTTGTAGGGTTTCTGCTGAGAAATCTGCTGTTAATCTGATAGGTTTTCCTTTATAGGTTACCTGGTGCTTCTGTCTCACAGCTCTTAAGATTCTTTCCCTTGTCTTAACTTTAGACAACCTGACTACAATGTGCCTAGGTGAAGATCTTTTTTGTGATGAATTTCCCAGGTGTTCTGTGTGCTTCTTGTATTTGGCTGTCTAGGTCTGTCACAAGACTGGGGAAGTTTTCCTCAATTAGTCCCCCAAATATGTTTTCCAGGTTTTTAGAATTCTCATCCTCCTCAGGAACACCGATTATTCTTGGGTTTGGTCGTTTAACACAATCCCAGACTTCTTGGAGGCTTTGTTTGTATTTTCTTATTCTTTGTCTTTGTTGGACTGGGTTAATTTGAAGACCTTGTCTTCGAGCTCTGAATTTCTTTCTTTTACTTGTTCAATTCTATTGCTGAGACTTTCCAGAGCATTTTGCATTTCTAAAAGTGTGTCCAATGTTTCCTGAATTTTTGATTGTTGTTTCTTTAAGCTATCTATTTCCAAGAATATTTCTCCCTTCACTTCTTGTATAATTTTTTGGATTTCCTTGCATTGGGCTTCACCTTTTTCTGTTCCCTCCCTGATTACCTTAATAACTGACCTCCTGAATTCTTTTTCAGGTAAATCAAGGATTTCTTCTTGGTTTGGATCTATTGCTGGTGAACTACTGTGATTTTTGGGGGGTGTTGAAGAGCCTTGTTTTGTCATATTACAGTTCCTTCTCATTTTAGGCATTGTCAGAGGGAAGGTCTAGGGCTGAAGGCTGTTGTTCAGATTTTTTTGTCCCACGGTGTGTTCCCTTGATGTAGTGCTCTCCCCCTTTTCCTGTGGATGTGGCTTCCTGTGAGCTGAACTGCAGTGATTGTTGTCTCTGTTATGGGTCTAGCCACCCAGCGAGTCTACCTGGCACTGGGCTGTTACTGGAGGTTGTCTGCATGGAGTCCTGGAATGTGAATTATCTATGGGTCTCTCAGCTGTGGATACCAGCGCCTGTTCTGGTGGAGGTGGCAGAGGGTGCATTGGACTCTGTAAGGGTCCTTCGGTTTGGTGGTTTAATGCTCTATTTTTGTGCTGGTTGGCCTCTTACCAGGAGGTGATGCTTTCCAGAAAGCATCAGCTGTAGTAGTGTGGAGAGGGACCAGTGGTGGGAGGGGCCCTAGAACTCCCAAGATTATATGTCCTTTGTCTTCCCCTACCAGGGTGGATAGGGAAGGACCATCAGGTGTGGGCGGAGCTAGGCGTGTCTGAGCTCAGCCTCTCCTTGGGCAGGTCTTGCTGCGGCTGCTGTGGTGGGTGAGGGTGAGAGTCCAGGGTCACTGGAGTTGTGTACCTAGAAGGATTAAGGCTGCCTCTGTTGAGTCATGCAGGTTGTCAGGGAGGTGGGGGAAAGCTGGCAGTCACAGGTTTCATCCAGCTCCCACGCAAACCAAAAAGCCAGTCTCACTCCCACCGTGCTCCCCAACAGCCCTGAGTCTGTTTTTAGGTGGAGGGTGAGACGGGCTTGAAAACTTGCCTGAGGCTACCTGCCTCCCAGCTGTGAGAGAGAAGGGCTTTCATTTATGCCCCATCCCCCCACCCCCACTGTGAAGTCTGCATGCCTGATTCGCGCCCTCCCCTGAATTCTGGCCAGGAGGCTTCTTGTTCTCTTCAAATTGTTACAAAGTTCAGCTAGAGAATTCCTTCTCCTTGTAGAGTGTTACCCCCTGCCCCTCAGGCCACCTTCCTGCTGGATCCCTGTGGTGCCAGGCAGGAATGGGCTGCTAGGGGACCCAAAGAGCTCCCAGGGCCTTTCTGCTGCTTTCTCTACCCCTGTGTTTTGCTGGGCTCTCTAACTTGACTCAGCTCCAGGTAAAGTCAGAAACTTCTCCCACAAACAGATCTTCAGCTTCTCCAGTGGGGGAGAGGGGGGAGTGTTTGGAAGAGGGGGGTTTCCCTTTCCCACTTCTGCAGTTGGGGCATTCACAGTATTTGGGGTGTCTCCTGGGTCCTGCAGGAGGAATCCACTTCCTTCAGAGGGTCTGTGGATCCTCTTAGTTTTGCTGGTTTGTTCTTGCAGTGGATCTAAAGCTCAGATTCACAGTGCGAGACTCTGCATGCTGCTCTCTCCGGAGATGCAATCTAATCCTGCCTCCCGTCCACCATGATCCCAGGCATTTTTTCATATATTTATTGGACGTTTGCATGTTGTCTTTTGAGAAATGTCTGTTCAGACCTCTCTCCATTTTTGATGGGACTGTTTGTTTTTTGCTGTTGAAATGTTTCACTTCCTTACATATTTTGCATATTAATTCCCTGTCAGATGAATAGTTTGTATCATCTGTGGGTTGTCTTTCCACTCTGTTGAGTGTTTCCTTTGCTGTACAGAAGCTTTTCAGTTTGATGTAATCTCAGTTGTTTATTTTTGCTTTGATTGCCTGTGCTTTTGAGGCCTTATTCATAAAATCTTTTCCCAAACCAACGTCCTGAAGAATTTCTCTTATGTTTTCTTCCAGTAGTTTTAGTTTCAGATCTTACATTTAGATCTTTGATCCATTTTGAGCTGGTTTTTGTATAATGTGAGAGATAGGGGTCTGGCTTCATTCTTCTGCATGTAAATTGTAGTCTACACTGGAGGGACAATGGTGCTGTTGCTGCATGTAAGCCTGGCTTTCTTGGTAAAACTTTCCAAAGTCTTACTGTTTGGCAAACCTGCAAGATTTATATTAGATAGGCTTGAGACCTAGGCACATCTGTGAGCTTAAAAGAAAACAGTCTTTCTCTTGTGCCAGAGAACTAAGCTCAGAAAGTCAATAGCAAAGTCTTGGTTATCAGCAGGACTGTAATCTGTGCTTTATCTAACTTTAATTCTGGGCTAACTTCTGGCCACTCTCTCCATCTTTCAGCCAGAAAGCACCGAGGGAATGAAGCCCAGTTTTACAATTTATCTAATCAAAATATAATTGAGAAGGTAAACCTGCAAAAGACAAAAATTAAAACAACTCAAAACAAAAATCAATCCCTTTTACTCCCCATGCACAATGCCTGTGGAGCCAAATATCAAAGCCTTTCAGATGATTTGTTCTACTCCTATGCATGTGGAGAATTGACTGTACAATGTTTTAAAACTACAGTCTCCAGACCATTGCTGGTGACCATAAAGCTATGCTTTTCCCTGGGTCTGAGGAGAGCACGGGTTGCTAACTTGCCAGACTTTTATTGCCATAGCCCAGCCATGTGCTACCAAGGCTGGAGCCAACAAGGGTGTCTGAAAAATGTGCAAAAGTGCATGCTCGTTGACTGCCTGGCACACGCTTTGCATAAAGTAGAGGAACAAGACATTTTCCTGCCAGAATCAAGCCCCAGTTAATGGAAATTGGGGGAAAAATTTCTGATGCTCCTTTTGACTCTGCCAAGGTGAGATGCTGTTGCTGGTCATTCTGCTTTCAACGCAAGTGCATTCTTGATCCTAAGGTCTTGGAGCAATCTGGCTCTCAATAATTAAATATCTATTAATAAAAGTCAACAGGACATAACACATCACGATATATAATATAATTTAAAATATAATATATGAAGTTATTACATAGCAATACCTAATATTACATAGCATGTACTATTGCTGCTTATACCAATTTTCACAAATGAAGTAGAATATAATGATATAATATATAATGTTATGTACATGATATATTTTCATATATTATGCATATACAAATTATGATATATATCACATGATTATTATATAACATGCAATTACATTATATATCAAATAATATATAATTATTATATAACATACTATTACATTATATATTATATAATGGATATTATTGTATTACTACGGCTGTTGCTGCTGACTGACAGAGCTCAGCTGTCAACCCTCTCCAGGAATTGCTCTTGGCTGAAGACAGCTACCTCACTCAAGCTTCCTGCCATTTTCCTAGGGACAGCTTGTGTCCAAATGACTAGTTGTTATGGAGTGTTCAGGCTTGGTCCCCTTATCCCAATTTGGGGCAACTCCACAGAACACCCCAGCTTTCCTGTGGGCTGCCTGTGGGGTGAGCTGAGAGCTTCATCTTCCACCCAGCCCTGCTCCCTTCCTTCCTTCATAGGTGGTCTGCCCAGCAGCACTCTCTAAGGAGTTTCTGAGAGCTTCTTTTATGAAGGCCCACGTCCTGGGCACCTGATCAGCAGCTGTTAGTCTCAGGATTGTCTGGGGAAGCAATACCAAGTGGGGTCCCAGTGCTGCACCCCTGCCACTGGCAGTGGGAGCCCCATCACTAGTTGTAGGTTGGCTCTGGAGCAGAGTGGCAGTGGTGAAACTCAGACTGGAGGAGGCAGGGATGTCACAGTGATGGAAAGAAGGTACCAAAGGGCTCACTGTATCAAGTGTTGGAGGAATATGGAGGAACTAAAAAATTATAAGGGCAGTGGAATGGAAAGACTATTGCTAGAGGTGGCAGGTTCTTCAGAAAACAAGACGAAAGGCCGTGGAAGATCACACAGCTGTGAATGGCTGGGCCTGAGAGCCAAAGGCCGCCTTGGTAAAATAGGAGACACTTCCATGTGCTGCAGCCAAAGGGCGACAGAGGTGAGAGCCAGGCTCAGGACTCAACATCAGAAACACCAGAGAAAGCTGAACTCTCAACCTAGGCCGGGCTGCTAAGCCAGGGTCAGGGACCCGCCTGGGGAGGAGTGGGACTCTAAGTCCTAGGATGGGGACATTTGGGAAGAGGCACTTGGAAGTTTTGAATCTCCAGGTTCCTTTGAACCCTCTGGCTGCCAGAAGCAACCCACTTCCCCCTGTTTGAGGTGTGCACCTTCCCCTTGTGCAGTCGGTGCAGAGGCCTCTCCTCATGAGACAGTGCAGGCCTGCTCTGGATCTGTCCTGAGTCCCTCTCTGCACCTGGACCACTCACTGGGGTTAAGTCACAGCCTAATCTGGCTGGAGGTGTGCTGGTCTTGGGGAGCAGGTTAGGGCCTATTCTGAGGACAGCTGCAGGACCCAGCCAGTGTGAGCTGGCAGGGATTGGGAGAGTATAGATGGGACTGGATGCTGAGAAGGCTGGAGCCAAAGTTGGCTGAGGAGGACTGTATGGATACACAGGAATGCTTCCTGATTCAAGACTTGACCCTGGAGATGGTGCTGCACACCAGTGATGGTCCACGTCAAGTGAGGTGGAAAGACCCAAACTTCCACAGCTCATGGTAGAAGAAAGGATCACAGCCTCAGGAAATGGGCCTGCTAGACTAGCCACATTAGGCAAGGCCAGAAAACCCACCCGATGACCACGTTCTGCAGGAGGGACTTGAGGAGTCTCTGTTTAGGATAGCATTGAGGAATGCCACAGTGAGGGCACCAGCCTCCCGGAGAAGCTCGGTGGCAGCCCTCCTATCAGGCCAGGGATAACCCCGGCAGGGCTGTCACAGAACCAGGTTCCCTGATGACACTGGTGAGGAGGCCGCTGGAACAGCAGAGGTCAGGTGAGAGGGCTTCAGCATCAGTTATCCTAGGGAGTGGCAAGACTGGAGGCAGCCAGAGGCCTGCCCTGTAGACAGCTACTGTGGTAACAGAGGCTAGATCCCTGAGGCAAGAAGGCTGAGCAGCCAGCAAGAGCACTGATTGCTCAAATCAGAACAACAGACATCAAGGGTGGATAAGCAAGAGGCTGAGGACAGCCATCCCCATAAAAA
This sequence comes from Homo sapiens, assembly GCF_000001405.40. Taxonomy (NCBI): domain Eukaryota; kingdom Metazoa; phylum Chordata; class Mammalia; order Primates; family Hominidae; genus Homo; species Homo sapiens. Next base: position 2,593,639 of record NC_000006.12, read on the forward strand.
GTCAAGATCTGGCTGGGCACAGTGGCTCATGCCTGTAATGCCAGCACTTTGGAAGGCTGAGGCAGGAGGATTGCTTGAGGTCAGGGGTTCAAGACCAGCCTGGGCAACATACTAAAACCCAATCTCTACAAAAAATGTTAAAAATTAGCCCAGTGAGGTGGCACACACCTGTAGTTCCAGCTATTTGGGAGGCTGAAGTGGGAGGATTGCTTGAGCCCAGGAGTTTGAGGCTGCAGTGAGCCATGATTGCAACACTGCTCTCCAGCCTGGGCAACAGAGTGAACAGAGTGAGACCCTGATTCAAAAAAAAAAAAAAAAAAAAAAAAAAAAAGCCCAGGCACAGTGACTCACGCCTGTAATCCTAGCACTTTGGGAGGCCAAGGCAGGCAGATCACTTGAGGTCAGGAGTTCGAGACCAGCCTAGCCAAAATGGTGAAACCCTGTCTCTACTAAAAATACAAAAGTTAGCCGGGCATGGTGGTGGGTGCCTGTAATTCCAGCTACTCAGGAGGCTGAGGCAGGAGAATCGCTTGAACCCAGGAGGCAGAGGTTGTGGTGAGCCGAGATCACACCATTGCACTCCAGCCTGGGAGACAGGGTGAGTCTCCATCTCAGAAAAAAAGAGAGTGTCAAGATCCCCTTGCCTGCTTTCTAGTCTTGCACTCATTGACTGAAGTAGGGCCAGGCCAATGGGATGAAAACCTACAGCACCATGACAAGTGTGTATAATCATTTCCTGTCCTTCTGTAAAGGGAGCTATGGCTGTTCACTCAGACAACTGAACACTGGGGAAATGGGAATGCCCAACTATTTTGAGGATGATTGTACAGAAGACCCAAATTGATGTTAATACCCAGGGATCCCGAATGTCATTATGTCCCCACTGCTACCTTGATGGAGCAGGGCATGTAGAGGCCAGTTAATAAGTGGAGTCCTGGCACAGGTCTGGGCTACAGGAGTCCACAGGACCCACAGACCCACCCCGTAGTCATCTTCGCTGTCCCTGGGTGTATAATTGGCATGGACATATTTCATAACTGGCACAACTCTCATGTTGGTTCATGGGCCTGTGGATCGGCTATCAGGGCAGGAAAAGCCAAGCTGAACCCTCAGAAACTGCCCATCCCCAGTGAAAGGAGCAAGTCAGAAACAGTATTGCATTTGGGAGGATGGCAGAGATGAGTGCCACCCTTCAAAACCTAAAGGACTTGGAATTAATAGTCCTCTATCAAATCTCCATGTCACCCACCAGTCACTCCCCAGAAGAACAAGACAGGTCTTGGAAGACAGCAGTGAACAACTGCAAACTCTGCCAAGGCACTCCCCAAGTGCAGCTGCAGTGCCAGATGTGGCATCTTGCAGAAGCAGATTAACAATACAGCCATTGATCCTCTTTTCTATGCCTAAAGGATTAGAAACAATACACATTCCTTTGGATCAGACAAGATTGCACACGTACGGTTCTGCCACAGAGCCATGATGTCTCTTCTATCCTCTATGATCATATAGCCTGGGGAGGCCTGGACATTGGACACCTGCAGAAACTCACACTGGCCCACTGTGCTGATGACTGCTTGCTAATTAGAGCAGATAGGCAAGATATGGCAAGTATGTTGGATGCTATAGTAAGACCCATGCACTCTATGAGGTGGGAGATAAATTCCATGATAATTTAGAGGCCACCACATCAATAAAAGTTATAAGATCCAGCAGTCTGGGAATGCCAGGACATCCCTCCAAAGTTAAAGACACATTACTGCTTCTTACACCTCCCGCCATGAAGGAGGCATAGCACCTGAGAAGCCATGGAGACAACATCCTTCATACCTAGCCATATAGTATTATGGTATTTCCTAGGACTGCTGTAACCAATCACCACAAACGGGGGGCTTAAAGCAACAGACACCTGCTCTCCCATGGTTGTGGAGGCCAGAAGTCTAAAATCAAGGTGTTGGCAAGGCCATGGTCTCTCCAAATGCTCTAGGGAAGGATCCTTCCGTTCAGCTTCTAGAGGCTCCTGGCATTTCTTGGTTTGTAGAAGCAGCACTCCAATCTCTGCCCCCATCTTCATGTGACCTTTCCCTTGTGTATTTCTGTATGTTTCAGATCTCCCTTTCCCATCTTCATGTGACCTTTTCCTTGTGTATTTCTATATGTTTCAGGTCTCCCTTTCCTTTTTCTTATAAAGGCATTTGTCATTATATTAGGACCCACCCTACATCCAGAATGATCTCATCTCAAGATTCATAATTTAATGACATCTGTAAAGACTATTTTAGGGTCACATTCACAGGTACTAGAGGTTAGGACTTGGATACCTCTTTTGCATGGAGCGGACAGTTTAATCCATTATACCAAGAAAAGCAAAGGGATGTCAGCTTTGAGTGGAGTGAGATCAAGATGTGGAACAAGGAAGTGTCACTTAGCCATACAACCTTGCAGACTCTGTGGTATGGGGGTATCTGTGGGGAAAGATGCTACATAGAATATATGACAAGCCCCAGTAGGAGAATTCCAACATAGTCCCAAGGGCTTTAGACCAGGGCCGTGCCACCCGAAGAGGAGAATTATACACGTCATGGAAAACAACTCCCAGTAAGCTAGGAGACCCTGGTAGAGTGCCAAAGTTGTGTCACCAAGTGACCCTAAAGCCAGAACTGCCCATCATAGCTAAGTTCTCTCAGATCCCCCCAGGTTGTAAGGTTGGATGGGCCCAGCCAAGTCATCCATCATAACATGAGAGTGTGCAAGGCTGGAGGCATGGGGGAGCCACTTGGGCAGGTGCCCAGACCCCAGGCCGCCCACTGGGTGGCAGCAGTGCCTCTCCCTCAAGCACCTCTAGACCCTTATGGGGAGGGGTCCTTCCTGGCCAGCTCAAGAAGGAGGAGCAATGCTGAGATATGATCACACAGTGCATGAGTGTGAGCCAGAAATGAACTCCAGCTGCTCTACAGGGCTCTACAGCCCCTCTCAGGGCTGGCATCGAGAGACGGTGCCACTAGGTGAGCCACCAAGGCCAGCAAAGGTGCCCGGTGAGCATGGGGAATCCTGGAATGGGGAACACCTGTTGTTGCTTTCCCACCCTTTGCAGTGGCTGGGGCTGTGGTTTGTCCTTTTACACATTTCCCCCCAGGAAATCAAGCCCACCAGGCTCATGGAAATGCTGCCTTCAGATGTCTGGGAAGAAGTAAGGCCCAGCCATGCAAGGCTTGCCCTTGGCTGATGACATTCAGGGCTGGTGGTCCTTTGTTGTGGAGGGCCAGCTGTGCATTGGAGGGTGCTCAGCAGCCTCTCAGGCCTCTACCCACTGGAAGCCCTCCCCAAGTCATGACAACCCAAAATGCCCACAGACATTGCCAAATGTCCCCAGGAAGCAGAATCACCCCGGCTGAGAACCACTGCACCAGGCTGGAGGGCCGCCTTGCTGGGAAGCACACCTCCTTCCTGCCAACCTGCCTCTGGTCACTGAGCCCCAGCCACCCCGAGGGCCCTGCCAGCCTGCATGGGGGCCCAGGCACTCTTTGTGTGACTGCATCACCCAACCTGTACCTTGGCCAATGCTTGAGGACTCCCTGAGGATTCTCATACACAAACCCCCATGTCAGAGTCAGCCTCCTGAGAACTCTGGAAGCGTTGCTCATCTTCCCCTCTTCCAGAATCGGCCTTAACTGAAATAACCAAGTTTGTCCTTGCTCATCTTCATGAGTTTATTCAGTAACAACTTTTAACAATCACTGTGTGTTTGCTGTCCACACGGTGCTGAGCCCGGGACACAACAAAGACAAGACGGACTTAGGTCCAGGGCCGGCTGCTTGATTTGCAGGGCCCTTAAAAAATTGCTAAGAATTTAAAGACAGGCTTATTTCAAGAATTTCATGGTGGCTCATGCCTGTAATCCCAGCACTTTGGAAGGCTGAGGCAGGTGCATCACCTGAGGTCAGGAGTTTGAGACCAGCCTGGTCAATATGGTGAAACCCTATCTCTACTAAAAATACAAAAATCAGCCAGGTGTGGTGGCAGATGCCTGTAATCTCAGCTACTCAGAAGGCTGAGGCAGGAGAATCACTTGAACCTGGGAGGTGGAGATTGCAGTGAGCCAAGATAGCGCCACTGCACTCCAGCCTGGGTGACAGAGCGACACTCCACCTCAAAAAAAAAAAAAAAAAAAAAAAAATTCAAGACAGCAACAGCAGAGCATTAAATCCAGTGAGGGTCCCTTCAGGGACCCTGTGCGGCTGCACAGATTCTTTGCCCATGATGCCAGCCTGCATAGGTCATGTTTTCATGAGACAAGTATTAAACCATTAATTACACACACAACTGTTTTATTGCAACTGTGAGAAGTGTTATGTTGGAGAGATGCAGGCTCCATGTAAGCCAGTGAGAGAGTTACACCCTTATGGGTGGGAGGGGTTGTGGGAGAGAGAGGGATTAGGGGCCACGGAGACCACAGCCCCTCACCCCAATTCCTCATCACCTGACCTGCCTGCCTGACAATTGGCAAGCAGTGTTTTTTTATTTGAGACCACTCAGTCTCTCCAGTCAAAGAAAATGGACCACAGACATATGGCTTCCTCTAGATGCTATACCGCACTTCCTCCACGTAGAAACAGCTCCGGGGGAAAAAAATCATTAAAAGAAAAAAAAATGCTGTTAAAATAAAGTGAATGGAAACATAAGGAGGTCCTTTACTGCTTTAAGAAAATAAAGCCAGATCCAAAATATTCTGAGACACACATTAGAGAATTAGAGGGGATCAAAAAGTCCACACAAGGGCCAGTTATACGTCAGGTTCGGAGACTGATTTAATTCTACACTTAGAGCAAGGAGACCACAGTTCTATTCTCAGTACTCTCTTCTAATTCTGAGAAAGTCACTTCACCTTTCTGTTCTTTGTCTGAATATGAACAAAAAAAAGTGGGTCTGTCATTTTGGATTTCATGAGCATTATAATATTAGGATGATTCTTTGAGGACGCTTTGAACTAACTCTTGTGGAAGCACAAACACTGTATTTATTCAAAGAGAAGGCAACCTAAGTTTAGTGTCCACTGCCCAGCCACACACAGCCACAGGTTGTGTGTGTGTGTGTGTGTGTGTGTGTGTGTGTGTGTGTGTGTGCGCGCGCTGGGGGTCACCGGACCTTCCTCAGTGCCCATGCGCTCCCTTTGGGCAGGGCCTATCTGAGCCAAGTGCTGGGGAGAGGAGCTAGCTTTTGGTGGCCTCTGTGTCTGAAGGCCTCGTCCATGGGTAGGATTGGTCCTGACATTTATTTTTGTTTTCTCTTAAGTGGAAATATTTTAAGCCATTCTTTTGTCCTGGTGATCATTTTTACTTGTCTTACAGACCTGGGCAGCCACACAGGCACACAGCAGCAATGGTGGCATGGGTGACATGACCGCAACAGGAGTGGCGCCGTGTGTGGCTGACTGCAGGGCCCCCTGCAGGTGGGCCTGCCCCTCACTGCTCCTGCCCTGTGTCCAACGCCAGCACTGTTCAACCTCCCCACGCTCATGGTCACACCCATCTCTTCTGTGTGTGGTGCATGAGGCAACAAAGTCATGGGAGATTGGGGAGAACTATGAAAAGGAAGGTTCTTTGATGGTTCAGTGACACAAAATAACTTTGCAGGGTTGAGAGGATCACAGTTCCATGTTAGTCAGAAAGGGTGGGAATAAGCTTCCGGGAGACTGAACTCACTAATATCATAAGCAAAAGTGTGTGCACATACAATGGATGGGTGTATGGGTTTCTTCTGAGGACAGAGTATTTAATATTTACCAAATTTTACCCCAGAAATGCCCAAACACTTCTTCTGCAGCATCTCTATTGAGTGGCCTTGCAAACAAGAAATAATTGCCTCTTGTGGGGCCTCCTACATTAGTCAGGGTGTTCTGGAGAAGCAGAACGGATAGGATTGCTTGCTCTCTCTCTCTCTCTCTCTCTGTGTCTAATCTATCTATCCATTGAGAAAGAAATTTTATTTTAAGGAATTGGCTCACACAGTTGTGGGGCCCTGCAAGTCTGAAGTTTGTCAGGCAGGCAGGCTGGCAATTCAGTTAGGAGATTGATGTTGCAGCGGTCAGACTGAATTCCTTCCAGAAACCTCAGCCTTTCCTCCTAAGTCCTTCAGCTGATTGGATAATGCCCACCCACATCATGGAGGGTCATCTGCTTTCCTCAGTCTACTGATTCAAATCTTAATCACGTCTAACAGATGCCTTCACAGCAACATTTAGACTGGTATTGACCAAACAACTGGGTACTACGGCCTGGCCGAGTTGACACATGTAATTCACCATTGTACTACCCCATCTTGGGAAAGCTCTAGATGTCCTTAACTGCAATGAATAATTCCTATAATGACACCACCAGTTGACAGTTGGAAATGCTCTTTAATTAGCTCATGGTTCTCATGCTTACCCAAGGTCATGGCGTCCTTTCTTATATGGCCACATCCCAGCAAAGTCAGCAGTCACTTCTGGTGAATGATTTGATGAGCACGAAAAGGCAACATCCACCCCAACTCCCCCCAAAATATTTCTCCTTTTCTCTTCCAGAAACCTTAACATACTACATCACTCACTTTGGGGGTTAAATTGTGAACCGCAGAAGTCTAAGCTGGTGGACATTGCTCCGGCAACGTGAGGGAGTAGGTGAAGCTGATTTTTTCAGAGCCAGTGGTAGTCATTGGTGCTGTTGCTCTCACTTCCAGTGCAGAGCAGGTTTGTGCCTCACCCTCTGTGAGTTAACTATGGCCACAGGCCTGCTTTGGCAATGGAGGTGAGGATGTGGTGTGTGTTGCTTCTGGGCAGAAGCTGTGAGTGTCAGGCCACTATTCTTTACATCCTGTCCATGGCCAATGATAACTGTAGGAGCCTCGTCTGCCTGGGACCCTGGGGGACTTTGATGAGCACAGCCTGTCTGTAATCCAGATAAGACATGGAGCGTGAGTGAGAAATTGTGCTTGTTACTGCAGCATACCCTGGGCCAACCTGGCTACACCAAGCTGTGTGTGGCTTTCACAGCATACACCTCCCCATCTTCATTGTGAGCAATCGAGACACAGGGCTGAGCTACTAGAACCCTCTGGCTCCTTAGGTTTCTCAGCACCACAGGGTTGCATCTCACTGAGGCCTGGAGAGATGTCTTACCTTCTTCCCTCATTCTTCTTCATGTTAGCCATGTCCTCTATTGCTTTGGTCTGAAGGTTTGCATCCCCCAGGATTCACCTGTTGAAATCCTAGCCTCCCAGGTGATAGTCTTAGAAGGTGGGGCCTTTAGGAGGTGATTAGAGAGGAGCCCTCATGATGGAATTAGTGCCCTTACCAAGAGAACCCAGAGAGCTCTTTATCTCTCTTTCTGCCTTTGAGGATACAACAAGAAGATGGCCATCTGCAAACTAGAAAGAGGGCCCTCGCCAGGTACAGGATCTGTCAGCACCTCGATCTTGGACTTCCCAGCCTCTAGCACTGTGAGAAATAAATTCCTGTTGTCTATAAGCCACTCATTCTATGGTGATTTGTTACAGCAACCTGAACAGACTGAGATGTCTATGAACACAGAGGCAGAAATAAGCCTTCACATTTTGAAAATTATATTATGAAAAAGAATTATGTATAACTCTGTGGTAATAAAATGGGAAATTGAAATGCAATTGAATTGAGAAGAAAGAAATATAGAAAATTAGAACAGACCAATACCATGGAAGAAATTGAGAAAAGATGTCAAATAAATTGCTTCAAAAAGTTCTATAAACCACTTTTTTTATGCGCAAGTTCTTTTAAGCTTTTAGGGAATAATAATAATGAATAATTTAAAAACATGTAGAAATAGGAAAGTCACATCAGGTAATTTTACTGGCAGAAGGAGCAAAAAAGAAAAGAATCTATAAGTAAATCTAAACTTTGAATATCAATGCATAAACTCACGCTTAAGTAGGGTTTATTCTAGAACTTAAGGCTGATTAATGGCAGCAAATCAATCTGTGTCTCTGATCAAAGCAGATGAACACAGGATGCCCCCATTAAGGGTCTTAGCAGATAGACTGTAGGCATTTGGTAAAAGTCAACATCCTTTCAGAATGAAAACTTTCAGAAAGCCAAAACTGGATACTTCTTTAATATGATAAAGAATATTTCAAACCAACAGCCAACATCATACTTGATGGTGTCAGTTAGAGCCAATTCTATCAAAGTTAAGAAGAGGAGGCTCATGCTGACCACTCCTATTTACTGTTGTCAAGAAGCAACAGGGTGAAGACAGAGGAGTAAATATTGGTGAAGTGACAGAAAATTGTCCTCAGGGATAAGGAAATTCAGAGCTATTCACAGATACTAACAAATGAGTCGAACATTGCCTAAAATATTTTAGGACAATTAGCTCTTGTAATGAGGCATCTAGCAGCAGAGAGTTATGAAAAAGAAATATGTTGAAAATGTTAAACAGAACTGCAAAATGTTCACAATAGCTTTAAAAATGTGAACTGTCTACAAATTAAACTTATTTTAAGAGGAATATAGAAGGTATTTATTTAGAAAAAAGCCTTAAAAACTTTATTTTATGTTATTTTATGAGACTGAGTCTCACTTTGTCACCCAGGCTGGAGTGCAGCGGCGCGATCTCGGCTCACTGCAACCTCCACCTCCCAGGTTCAAGTGATTCTCCTGCCTCAGCCTCCTGAGTAGCTGGGATTACAGGCATCCACCACTGTGCCCGGGCAATTGTTGTATTTTTAGTAGAGACAGGGTTTCACCATGTTGGTCAGGCTGGTCTCGAACTCCTGACCTCAGGTGATCTGCCCACCTTGGCCTCCCAAAGTGCTGAGATTACAGACGTGAGCCACTGTGCCTGGCCAAGAACTTTATTAAGATTAAAAAAAAAAAAAGGCAATAAAATGGAAAGGCAGATCATGTTGCTGAGTGAGAAGATATAGTACATCCATGTAAATTATCCTCAAATGGAACGTAAAGTGTTAATGCAATCTCCATCACAACCCCAATATTTTCTTTAACTTTAAAAAGTGATTACAAATTTAAACTTGAGGAATAATTTGGGAGGAATAACTAAGAAAAATTAATAACAATACCTGAAAATGATGATGAGTGTATTTTTATTATTACATATTAATGTGTATTTTGCTACATAGTTAAAACAGGTTTCTGTTAATGTAAAAAGAGACAGAGCAGATTTAGAAAGATCATTCAAAAATCCAGAAACAGGCACAAGTGCATATCATTATTTAATATAAGATAACTTTGGCGCTTCGTATAAACAAGGAAAGGAAAGATTATTAAATGTACCAGGAAACCTACTTACCTATCTGGAAAAAATTAAGCTTTTTACCTTACTCCAAATATCAAAATAAATTCCAGATGGATTAAAGAGATAAAGTGTTAAAAATGAGACCTTACAAGTAGTAGAAGAAATTTAGCTAAATATTTATATAATTTGGGTGTTTGAACGGCCCTTTCTAAAAACAACATTGAAGTCGGGGATTGTAAACTAAATTACCAGTATCTCTGACTGCATGTGATAAATTCCATAAATCTCCTGAGCAAAATGAAATGTCACTTCACAAAGCAGAAAAATACCTGCCATATGTATTCCAGATACAGAACCAGCGTCCTTAAATATAAAGAGCTATTGCAAGCAGTATGTAAAAGACAGATTCTTTGGCCAACAATTCACTTCCTGAAGTTCATCCCAAGGAAATAAGCCCGGAGGTGGTCACCACAGAGCTTGCCCTTTTAAACTCCCTGTAGAGTTGATCGGAGAATCCACCTTTCCCAGGAGAGAGCTTCAGCAAGACCAGAGTGAGGGGGAGTCAGGGGTGCTGATGATGGTCTACTGGAAAGGATCTTTTGGGGGCAACATTGTACACCTCCGGTTGCTGGAGAAAAGGGGACACTGGGGAACTAAAAGAAGGCATCATGTAAATGGGGTGTCATGCTTGGAGGGATGTCAGAATCTAAGGACAAAGACTCCCACTTTGGGGGCCCAATAAAAAATGGCAACACTCAGCCAGAGTGGCATAAAAGGCTGCAAAGAATCCTTGAAACAACCTTATGACTTATGAGTAGTTAGTGTCACCTCTTTTGTTTTTGTTTTTATTTATTTGTTTATTTTTGAGACGGAGTCTCACTCTGTTGCCCAGGCTAGAGTGCAGTGGCATGATCTCGGCTCACTGCAACCTGTGCCTCCTGGCTTCCAGTGATTCTCCCACATCAGCCTGGCGCTAAGCCAGGCCCTGGGAATGCAGCAGTGAACCAGGGAACATAGACCCGTCCGCTAGGAGCTCTCAGATGTTCACCAATGAGCACCACAATAATGGTATAATTACGCCTGTGGCACCTGCCGTGAAGGGAATTCCGGGGAGCCACATGGGCATGTGGCAGGGGTCCCAAGTGCATTCAGTTAGCTCCCACCAGGGTGATACATTTATTCAAGGACACAGATTGGGCTGGACACGGTGGCTCACGCCTGTAATCCCAGCACTTTGGGAGGCAGAGGCAGGCGGATCACGAGGTCAGGAGATGGAGACCATCCTGGCTAACACCGTGAAACCCCGTCTCTACTAAAAATACAAAAAATTAGCCGGGCGTGGTGGGGGGCGCCTGTAGTCCCAGCTACTCTGGAGGCTGAGGCAGGAGAATGGTGTGAACCCAGGAGGCGGAGCTTGCAGTGAGCCGAGATCGCACCACTGCGCTCCAGCCTGGGCAACAGAGCGAGACTCTGTCTCAAAAAAAAAAAAAAAAAAATTACACAGATTGCCCTCATATCACCTGCTGTTTTATGTAGCTGGCCCAATTGGGACCAATAATTCTGATTTCTCCATCTTGTCTCTCTAGAAGGAAGTCCCTTCCCATAGCCAGCCACTGCCATGCATGTGGAGTGACGGCAGAGGCCCATGTGGCCTGTGTGCACTGTGATGTTCTCTGCATCAACATGGACAGAACGTGTGGGAAAAGTAAGAAAAAGAATGCAATGTACACCATAATGCCCTTTATGTAAATTAAAGCACATACACATACAAAACAGCCCAATATGTTATGTAAAAAAATCCATGATTATTTGGTTATTTGAGGACTTGTATAAAACACCTTACACTGGGTCTGGGGGTAGAAGCAGGGGGATAGCCAGGAAATCAGGGGTAAAAGGGAAAACAATACAGCAGGAGAGGAGCCTTGAACAGATTATACTGATAAATGCAATTGATTAAATCTGTCTGTGAGGTCCCCAAAGTAAACAGAAGCAAGAAATCATTTGGCAAAGCAAATAGCCTCTTGTACTGTACAGAGGGTGATCTTTAAATGCTGGCCCTAAGCTTAAGGCAGAGAAGTTTCATGATGGGAAACCAGGTCAGGAAAGATAGAAGCAGAATGGAGGAGAAAAGAAAGAAAGAAAGAGAAGAAGAAAGAAAGAAGGAAGGAAGGAAGGAGGGAGGGAAGGAGAGGCAAAGAGAAAGAGAGAGACACAAAGAGAAGAGAGAAGAAAGGAAGAAAGAAGAAAGAAAGAAAGGAAGAAAGAAAGAAAGAAAGAAAGAAAGAAAGAAAGAAAGAAAGAAAGAAAGAAAGAAAAGAAAAGAAGAAAATACACAGAGAGGCAGAGAAACAGTAGGAAAGAGGGAAGGAGGAAGGAAGGAAGGAGGGAAGGAATGAAGGAAGGGAGGGAGGGAGGGAAGGAGGGAAGGGAAGGGAAGGGAAGGAAGGAAGGGAAGGAAGGAAGATGACCAACCTAAGTGAACTCTGGGAACAACGGTGAATGTTTGTGTTTATATAAACATGTTACTTTAAGATGGTTGACTCCTTACAGACAAAGGCCATATTTTCATCACTTCCTATAAAACCTCTCTACAATACCCAACAAAGTGAGAGGTCCTTGGTGTTCCCAAAGCATTTAAGAGATAACAACAGTAATGTCCATGTGAGATCCTCGCGCTGGTGTGTGGTTTCTGAAGTGCATCCTGCAATGTGAAATGGTAGCTGCTATTCGGTGTTGATAACCTCAGTTCACTGTGGATCCCATCCGACAACGCGTGAAGTCAAGAAAAGCCAACTGTGACCCCACTGAGGGGGAAGCATCTAGTCTCTGCTTCCTGAACAGACTGTTCCAAAAACGGGGCTGTTGTTTCAGTTACTTACAGTAATAAAACCACCGCGACCCCATATCCATCTTTCCACATTCCCCACCTCCCATCCTACCCAAGGTCATGAATATCAAACTTGGAAAGGAAAAGAATGAAGGACGTCTCCCCCAGCAATTAAAATTAAGTCCTTTTTCTTGCCTCCAACTAAAATCTTGGACGTGATGGCAGTTGCATTTAGCGGGATCCCAAATGCTGCTTTTATATGCCAGCATTCCATTCGGGGGGCTGATTTGTAGGTTTAAAAATATGCAATGTATGAAAGAGAGGCTCATTTATTTATTTCCTCCCTTGACTGACCTTGGGCCTTGATTTATCTCAAAACCAAGAGAATTTTCCTCTTGGTAAAGGAGGACTAATTCTTTCAGTGAGTCCTTGATAGTTTCTGCCATCAAAAACAAACCATAAGCTGAATGTACAGAAATGCCCTGCATTTAAGAAAGATGACATGGGGAGTAGTAAAAGCAGGAGGAAGAGAAGTGTGAGAAGAAAAAGAAGCAGGGAAAATCAGGGGGAAAGTGATGTTGAACAAATCATGCACATTTCAAGATTTTTAAAAAAGCAATGCGTTTGGGGATGGATAGCTGTCACCCTTGCCACCTTGGAGGAAAGTTTTGCTGGCTAACTGGCTATTGTCAAGCAGGCCGGGCTGGTGGCCTCGGCGGGCTGGCTGACCTTCCCCTGACTCCAAGAGGAAAGAAATAGTGAGGCTCTGTGTCCTGCGAGTCGGGCCTTCCTGTGACCTGAGTGCAACGTCTCAGCCCCTCTCCGACAACCCTCCAGCAAAGCTTGCTGGAGCTCTTGGTTTATTTTTTCAGGTGAGTGAACGCCGTATCAAATACTGGTTTCTCAGTTGCTTTTAATTAGGCTTCTGGGTTCCACTCTTTCATCTCGCCTGAAATCTGCATCACTTTTCTCCAGCTATTTCAGGTTCTAAAGCCACGGGTTTGCTTTCATTCAGCTAATTGAAGGCACACAGGAAAGGAGAAGGGGGATAATCCCAATCATTGGACATTTTTTAGGGCTGTGATAAACCACACATTTTTTAGCAACAGAAAACCACTTTCAAAACGTTAACTCTGCGGCCTCTGCTCAGGGGCTGGAGGGCCTACCCCTGAGGCTTCAAGGTTCATGTCATGTGGGATTCTCTGAGACTCCTCGATGCAGGTAGAGAGCAGGAGGGCAGGTGAGATGCCGTGATGTGACGGAACAGGCCCCATCACTGTCCCTTTCTGGTGTCGAGCTACTGGGAACATCGCTGTTGAACTGTGTATCTGCAAAGCTCTGGGGTGGAGGCCCAGCCACACACAACATCGGAGAACAGAGCTGATGCTGATGTCCCCTGAAGTGTCAGCCAGCAGCCAGGTGCTTGCTTAATCCCAGAAAGGGCAGTATATATTTTTCAGTAAAATTTTATTAAATCCTAATAGCAGATCTTTTTTTGTGGAGCAAAAAACTCTTGAAAACTATATTCATGAGGTATGTATAATTTGTTGGTTTTACCAAGGCTTTTTAGTAAACAAGCTTTAGATCTTGCCAGAGTATTCAAAATAGGTTTATGTAGAGCAAATATTTAAATTTATCTGTTATTCTATTTTTATAATTAATGAATAGGATTATAGGCATTTAATAAAACTTCTACAAAATAGAGCAGGGTGGGGGGGTGAATCCTACTTATTTGCTACCAAAAGAATCAAAATAACATTTATATTTATATCTCAATATATGGTTCTTCAAGTCATTTCAGGAGATGAAACAGTATGTGTTACCAACGGCTTTTAATTATAAAAACAAAGTGTTTAAATGGATCCAACACAGTCAGTTGGCAATACATCTAAATTCCATGTTATAGTGGCCTTTGTAAGGCAACAAATGGGGAAAGTACTTGTTAATTCATACAACGTCAAAGAATACCTGATACCTAAATAGCTCCCACAGTCAATTGAAAAAAGACCAACTATTGGGAAAATGACACTTTCCAGACAAGATCACAGAAGTTTAGATAGGTGAGAAGATACTCAGCCTCACTCATGATAATTAAAATGCAAATTAAACTATACTGAGATTTCATTTTCCAACTCCCAGGTTGTTTAAAAAAAAAAAACAAACCTAACAGGTTAATATGCTGGTGGCAATGGAGTAGAGGAAAGACATTTATTAAAAGCTGAAGGGCCCAGCACTTTGGGAGGCCAAGGCGGGCTCATGATGAGGTCAAGAGATCGAGACTATCCTATCTAACATGGTGAAATCCCACCTCTACTAAAAATACAAAAATTAGCTGAGCGTGGTGGTGCACACCTGTAGTCCCAGCTACTTGGGAAGCTGAGACAGGAGAATCGCTTGAACCCGGGAGGTGGAGGTTGCAGTGAGCCGAGATCATGCCACTGCACTCCAGCCTGGCAACAGAATGAAACTCCATCTCAAAAAAAAAAAAAAAAAAAAAAAGCTGATGGGAACATATATTGGTTTCAATTTCTATGGGAATTTGGCAATACCTACTAAAATTATAAATGCAAATGCCCTTTGACCCAAACTTCTTTTTCCAAAAATTTATTCGACAAATACATTCACCTAGAGGAAAAGTTCCTCTATGTCCCCACTTTCCATACTGTGCTCTTTGGAAGGAAGTCATTATCTGCAGCCCACATTTATGGGGTGGGGAGTTAATACTCCCCATCCTTGAGGGCAGAGTATCTACAGAAATTATTTGAAATTTTCTGCACAGAACATTTGTCTCTTTTCTTCAATTCATTTATTTTTTCAATCATTTGTTGATATCCGTATGAGTTCGTGGTTATTTATTTTATACTTTGAGTTATCATCCAAAGCTACTTTATTTACTTAGCTGAGTTTTTGATTAAACGGAATGATTGTTTTGGCATCCAGTAAAAATTGGCTTAGAACCCAGAGCTCATCACACAGCTCTGTGACCTAGTAGTCTCTTTGTATGTGCTCATGGAGTACCCATGTCTCTAGTCGTTTATTGGTTTGTCAAGGGTGTACCATGTGCCCTTTACTGTGCTAGGGGTACAGCAGTGAATGGAAGAGACTGCCTGCCTGCCTGCCCATGGGAATTATCAACCTAATGTCTGACTGATTTACTGTATATGTAGCATGGCACTAGAAAATCTGGGGCAACAGCAGGGGCAATATTATTCCTTTGGAATGATAGTAGTCATCTGGGCAGGCTAGAGGGACACCCAGACTCACACAAGACTAGAGAGAAAATAGGCGTAGAATAAATATAAGCCAAAACACCAACACCTGTCTGGTGTGCTGAAGGATGAGGTGAATCAAAGACAGATTTCTTGAGATGGCATGGAATAGACGCTCTTATAAAAGTTTTGTTAAAAGGAACTAGGCAATCATTGGAAGGATGGGGTCAGATGTAGATTTTCCTATGCAGCATTTAAAAAAATAGAACAGACAGACTATCCATAAAACGCAGGAAGAGGAGGAGGCCATAGGAGACTGAGGCTGTAGCTGAGAGGTCACCCATAGAGCAGACACTTCCAGCCACAGGAGGGGCAGAGGGTTTAGTTTTGGAGAGAGGATGAATGTGGAGAAAAGTAAAACACTCAACATTCAATGTAAAAGGGAATATGTATTGTTAGGCTCTCTGAGAGGCGAAATAGACCATGAATTCTTAACAGCTTCTTGTGTGTTGGAAAGACCTATGAAAAGTTTCATTAAGTTTTGGGGAAAAGCAGGTAGGGTAACTCCATAAATCTAATGTCGAGCTGCTGTGGTGTTTCTTTGAATGGTGAAAGATACATTTTTTCCCTTTAGTTTGCCAAATTTTACTGCCCACACTCTTACCATTGCTGCCGGGAGATCTGATATGTTGAACTCTTAATATGATGAATACATGTCTGAGGATTGAAAGAAAAGCAGTGGCATTAAAAATGTCAGAATAACAGCAGTGTAGTTTCAGTGTTCTCCATGAGCCGTCACTCCTAACAATGGGTTCTTGCTTGTCAAACCTCATATGTTGCTTTGTAGAAGCAAATACACTGACTGGGATCTGCCTTGAGAAAAGAAAACAAAAAACAAGGTTGAACGTTGGGCGTTTTCGTTTTCAGTCTGAGCTTTGAAGGTAAATTTCGTCCTTGATTGTTTTGTTATTTTCTTTGGGCTCAAACTCTTGGGCTCCATCTTTCTTTGGCCAAGTCCAGGTTTCTTGGGTTCTTTCCATTTTCTCCAGGATTATCCACACATGTGCTTCCTTTCCCACTGTTTCTACTAAACAGATACTGGACGTAGAATTACAAAGTTACATAGTCTTCTTTAAGACTTTAATTTTTTAAAGCAGTTTTAGGGCCATGGCAAAATAGAGAGGAAGGTGACGAGATTTCCAATATACCCTCTGCACAGCCTCCCAGTGATCAACACCCTCACCAGAGTGGCATACATGTCACAGTCAATGAACCCACCCATATTCACACATCATCACCACCCAGAGTCCATCGTTCACATTAGGTTCACTCTTGGTATTTGGACCAATGTATAATGATATCATCCACTATTACGGTATCATACAGAGTAGTCGCACTGCTCTAAAAATCCTCTGTGCTCCACCTATTCATCCCTCCCTCCCCCTAACTCCTGGCAACCACTGATATTTTTACTGTCTTCATAGTTTTGCCTTTTCCAGAATGACACATAGTTAGAGTCACAGTATGGAGCCTTCTCAGATTGGCTTCTTTTAACTAGCAGCATGTACTTAAGGCTCCTCTATGTCTTTTCATGGCTTATTAGCTCATTTCTCTTTAGTGTGAATAATATTCCATTGTCTGGATGTACCACAGTTTATTTATCCATTCACCCACTAAAGAACATCTTGGTTGATTCCAAGTTTGAGCAATTATGAATAAAGCTGCCATAAATATCTGTGTGCAGGTTTTTGTGTGGACATAAGTTTTTAACTCCTTTGGGTAAATACCAAGTAGCATGATTACTGGATTATATAATAAGGGTATGTTAGTTTTGTAAGAAACTGCCAAACTGTCTCCTAATGTGGTCGTACTGTTTTGCGTTCCCACCAGCAATGAATGAGGGTTCCTGTTGCTCCACATTCTCACCATTTGATGTTGGCCATTCTAACGGCTGTGTGCTGGTATTTCATAGTTTTAATTTGCATTTCCCTGATGACTGTGATGTGGGGCATCTTTCCATACAGTTATTTGCCATCTGTATACCTTCTTTGGTGAGGGATCTGCTAGGTCTCTTGGCTCATTTTCTAATTGAGTTGTTTTCTTATTGTTGAGTTTTAAGAGTCTTTGTCTATTTTGGATACCAGTCCTTTCTCAGATGTGTCTTTTGCAAGTATGTTCTCACAGTCTGTGGCATGTCTTCTCATTCCCTTGATAACTTTTTCACTTACAGCTTTGCAAATGTTAGTAAATGACCATAATAGGGCTCTGGAGCAACACAAGCAATGTCCTCTCATGAGGCTCCAGGTGGCAGTGATTGCTCTGAATCCCAGCATTGCTGCTGCAGCCTGGCCAGCAAGTGATTCATCACTGTCAATGTTTTCATATCTTAACTTCCTTCTGAGGAGTGTCTCAGAGTCTGGTAAATGGTACCAAGAAATCTCCACCCTCAGTCCAGCTGGCTTCGTGTGGACCAGCTGAGTGGTGTGGGGGACTAGGAAACTGGATTTCTACCCAGTTGTCATTCTGTGTCCAACGTATTGGTAGGAAATAGGCATCAACTCAAGAAACCAAATCCCCCTAAACTAACATCAATTAGTTTGAGATCAGCTCTCTCCCCTTCTCCAAGTGTTATAGGTACATTTACAGTTTTAGTTCTGGATTTTGTAAACTGCATTCTCCTGATCATAGCGGACAAGTTCCTGTGCCACTTACTGATATGTGATGACAATCATGATTAAGAAGAATAATAGTGACAATTTACATTTCTATGCACATTAGACATACAAAGTGGCTTCACATGTTTCCTCATCTAGTGATTGTGGGACCTTCTTTACAAGCTTTGTCTTTGTAATGATCGTAGTTAACATTTATGGAGCCCTCATTGTGTTCCAAATTCTGTTCCATGACTTTTATTTGGACTAATTCATTTAACCCTTATAATAACCTCTGGCAGGGACTGTTACTATTCCCATTTTACAGATGAGAAGACCAAAGCATGACACCTTGCCCAGAGGTTGTTTGTTTGTTTGTTTTGAGACAGGGTCTTACTCTGTCGCCCAGGCTGGAGTGCAGTGGCGTGAGCAGGGCTCACAGCTCACAGCAGCCTTGGAGTCTTGGGCTCAAGCAATCTTCCCGACTCAGCCTCCCAAGTAGCTAGGAATACAGGTATGTACCATCACACCCAGCCAATTTTTAAATTTTTTGTACAGACAAGGTCTCTCTATGTTGCCCAGGCTGGCCTTGAACTCCTGGCCTCAAGCAATCCTCCCACTTCAGCCTCCTAAAGTGCTGGGATTACAGGCGTGAGCCACTGTGCCTAGCCCTGCCCAGAGCTGAACATACCCAAGGCTGTCCGGTTTCAGTGCCTACACCCATATCTGCTCTGCTACCCTGCTTGGGTTCAAATCTCGACTTGCCACTTACTCTCTGCATGAGCTTGGACTACTTATCTAACCTTTTTTATCTCAGCCCCTTCATTTAAAAATAAGGATAATAATAATATCAGTTACATAGGGATTTGATTGAATGGCATACTTTTTGTGAAGTTTCTGCTATGTGCTAAGTAGTGTTAGGTATTATTTTCATCCTGGACCATGTATTCTTCTGATAAACATTGAGCACACGTTCTCTGCCCGGTGGTAGGCTTACACTGAGGGTCCCAGGGTATATGAGTCTCCTACTGATGCTATAACAAATTGCCTGAAGCTTGGTGGCTTAAAACAACACAAGTCTGATTTATAATCCTTTGGGTATATACCCAGTAATGGGATTGCTGGGTCAAATCTTATTTCTAGTTCTAGATCCTTGAGAAATCTCCACACTAGACTGGATGAAGAAAATGTGGCACATATACACCATGGAATCCTATGCAGCCATAAAAAGGGTGAGTTTATGTCCTTTGCAGAGACATGGATGAAGCTGGAAACCATCATTCTCAGCAAACTAACACAGGAACAGAAAACCAAACACCGCATGTTCTCTCATAAGTGGGAGTTGAACAATGAGAACACATGGACACAGGGAGGGGAACATCACACACTGGGGCCTGTCGGGAGATGGGGGGCTAGGGGAAGGATAGCATTAGGAGAAATACCTAATGTAGATGATGGGTTGATGGGTGCAGCAAACCACCATGGCATATGTATAACTATGTACCAAACCTGCAAGTTCTGCACATGTACCCCAGAACTTAAAGTATAATAAAAATACATATATATATGTACATAAAGAAAAAAAAACATGAGTCTGTTGTGTGAGAGTGGAGGTCAGAGTCTGAACTGGGTTCCACTATACTAAAGTCAAAGCATCAGCAAGATGATTTTCCTTCTGGAGGCTCCAGGTGAGGATCCATTTCACTGTCTTTTCCAGCATCTAAAGGCCACCTGAGTTCTTCAGCTTGTGGTCCATTTCCTCCATCTGCAGTACCAACAATGGCAGGTTGAGTCTTCACATCCCATTATTCTAAACTCTGCTTCTACGGCCATATCACTCTCTCTGGCTCTGACCCTCCTGCCTCTCTTTTACAAGAACCCTTGTGATTACATGGGACTCACTCATACAATCCAGAATCATCTGCCCCTCTCTGGAGCCTTAACTTAAGTATACCTGAAAAGTCCCTTTTACCACATAAGATAAAATATTCACAGGTCTCAGGAACAAGGATGTGGATATCTTTGGGGGCCATTCTTCTGCTTTCCACAAATGGTAAATCAGACACTGTCTGACTTAATGAGGTTTGCTAATGATCACCAAAAAAGGTTAACAATAAGAGGCGAAATGGTTTGCAGAGGCCACTGAGAAGGCCAGGGTTGCTAAGCATTGTCAGACCAACTATTTTAAGATTTGGGAAATTGAGCTTTTACAAACTACTCAAGGTTCTTCTCTAAAAATATAACATCTCAGATTAAAAAGAAAGAAAAGAGAAAGAAGTTAGTGTTGTTAAAGATGTCTATTATGATACTCTCATTACCTGCCCTTTTAAAAAATGTTCCTGATACTTAAGATGTAGTGTTAATACACTCTGATACATTAACTCTGGAGGTGCTATTTCAGGAAGATTTCGAAAATATAACTAAAATTCTTCCTCTGAAGAGAGATTTTTTGAGCTATCTTACTTTGTTCCTAAAATTAGTCACATTTGCTCTCCTGTCAGGGGGTTGAATGTACAGATTACTTCATCACTCAGGTACTAAGCCTAGTACCCAATAGCGATTTTTTCTGCTCCTCTCCCTTCTCCCAGCTCCACCCTCCAGTAGGTCCCAGTGTCTGTTGTTCCCCTCTTTGTATCCATGAGTTCTCATCATTTAGCTCTCACTTGTAAGTGAGAACATGCTGTATTTGGTTGTCTGTTCCTGCCTTAGTTTGCTAAGGATAATGGTCTCCAGCTCCACCCATGTTTCTGCAAAAGACACGATCTCATTCTTTTTCATGGCTGCATAGTATTCCGTGGTGTATACGTACCACATTTTCTTTATCTAGTCTTTCATTAATGGGCGTTTAGGTTGATTCCATGTCTTTCTACTGTGAATAGTGCTGCAATGAACATACACGTCCATGTGTCTTCATGATAGAAAGATTTCTATTCCTTTGAGTATATACCCAGCAACCGGATTGCTGCATCAAATGTTAGTTCTGTTTTTAGCTTTTTGAGCTGTCACCACACTGCTTTCCACAGTGGTTGAACTAATTTACACTCCCACCAACAGCATATAAGTGTTCCCATTTCTCCACAACCTTGCCAGCATCTGTAATTTTTTGACTTTTTATTAATAGCCATTGACAAGTGTGGGATGGTATCTCATTATGGTTTTGATTTGCATTTCCCTAATGATCAGTGATATTTGAGCTTTTTTTCATATGCTTGTTGGCCACATGTAAAAAAATAAAGTTTATAAAAGTGAGAGTCCATCAGCCTTGCTGTACTTTGTAATGACTACAATAGCCCCTCTGCTGTTGTTTGAAATCTCTGCACAGCCAGAATTATTCAGTTCTGCTTGTATATACTTCATGTAACTCCTTGTTTGTCAATTAACGTGATATTTTGACAACTCCTTCCAAAAGAACATTCTTGCTAAAGAAAAAATGTAGCCCATGACCTCTGCTTTCCATGCACTGAATAAACATGGACAGATTTTTCATGAAGCAGGCCTGCCACCGAGGGCCACAGAGACGTAACCACGCCAGCATTTCCCTTTTGGTAGCTAAGATGCCTGGGACCTAAGAATTGGCTTTCTCGTAATAGATCCCAACTGACTTAGGTAAGAGGTTGTAGCACATAGAATACCATGTCCACAAATCAGAGGGCAACTGATTCTCAAGGGTGTTTAGTGTGTAGGTCAGTAAATTTGAGGAAATTGCCATTCAGTTAAAGAATTGGAAGAGATCATAACGATCATTGGCCTCTATTTTATTATTTTCTGAATGGAGTAACTGGGGCCCAGGAGGCTCAGGTGACTTGCCAGGGCCACCCCTCGAGTCAGTGGCAGAGCCAGGATGTGCCTGGGACCAATGACTCACATCACACTTTCCTGGGTTCTAAACTCAGTGGAGGAAACTCTTTGTTTTAAAAGTTAAATTTTTCTCTTTCAAGCTGCTGAACTTCCTGCATCTGTAGGGAAAATAACGTGCATGTGTGTGTGTGTAGCCAAGAAAAAGTAGGATAAACAACACTCCATTTAAGAATTTTGATGATGATGTCAAGGACAAGAAGAAGAGTAGAGAAAGACTTTTTTTAAATTAATTTTTCTGACATTCTGGAGAGAAGTAAAGGTTTTAATATGCAAACATTATGCTTCCTCAAGTTCATATCTGAAATGTACATTAGCTCTGTGCTCTCTTCTCCTTGTCCTGCTCCTTAGCCTCTACCTTTCAAATCCCATATTCCCATCCTTCCCTCAAAAAAGGCTCCAGACATGCCTGACAGTAGTGCTCATCAGGTGGGCCACCTGTTTGCACTCCCATCTCACTAGATATTCTCCACCTCTCTGCATGAACACATCTCTTCTACACTTGCTGAATTCCAGCTCAAGCATCACCTCCTCAGTGCAGCCTTCCCTGATGCTGGGACAGAATTAATCAATCCCTCCCTTGTGCCACCATTGTACCCATCTTTTTTTTTTTTTTTTTTGAGATAGAATCTTGCTCTGTTGCCCAGACTGGAGTGTGTGGTGTGATCTCGGCTCACTCCAACCTCCACCTCCCAGATTCAAACGATTCTCCTGCCTCAGCCTCCAGAGTAGCTGGGATTACAGGCACCTGCCACCATGCCCAGCTAATTTTTGTATTTTTAGTAGACATGGGGTTTCACCACGTTGGCCAGGCTGGTCTCGAATTCCTGATCTCAAGTGATCCGCCTGCCTCGGCCTCCCAAAGTGCTGGGATTATAGGTGTGAGCCACCATGCCTGGCCCATCATACCCATCTTGATCTCCACTCTAGCACTCATGGGCTTGTATTATGGTTATTTGTTTACTTGTACATTCTCCAGTATCTGACAAAAAGAAGAATCCAAGCATGTTTGATAGATAATTGGATACTGATGTGTCAAGGTTGGAGGTGGGGCCTGGTGGGAGGGGCTTGGGCCACGGGAGGGGATCCCTCGTGAATGCTGTGGTGCCCTCAGCATGGCAATGAGTGAGTTCTCACTCTGTTGGCGCTCTTATAACAGTTTACACGACAGCAGATTGTTTAAAGGAGTCTGAGATCTTCCCCTCTTTCTCTTGCTCCTTCCCTTGCCATGTGAAATGCCACCTCCCTGTTTTGCCTTCTGCCTTGATTGTAAGTTTCCTGGGGCCTCCCCAGAAGCAAAGCAGATGCTGGCACCATGCTGTACAGCCTGCGGAACCATGAGCCAAATAAACCTCTCTTTTCTGTATAAATTACCCAGACTCAGGTATTCCTTTATAGCAATGGATGAACAAAATACACAGAGGTTTCCCAATTTAGCCTGAGGCAAAAAGCAGTGAAGAAAAATGATCTCAGTTGAACAAGCCGTCCTTGCAATGGCGTGGCTAATTCTGAGGGCAGTTTGACTTTTACAAGCATCATGCAGTGATTCCCTAGGGAATGTGGGCATTCAGGGAGCCTAAAGTTAAGCCGTGGGTGGGCACTATTGGCTCCCAGGCATTTCTAAGCGGAAGCAGCATCCTGAGGAAGTCAGTCTGTTTGAGGATTTTCTCATGCTTTGTCCTTTCCAAGCCTTAAACGTCATTGTGTATTCGTGCAGCAGAAACACACCAGATAGAAAAAGCTGGGAGCAAAACGACCTAACAAGGGGCAGAAACATCAAGGGGCATGACAATGCCACAAGACCTGAGACAGAATTTCCAGAGTGACTTTACATTCTGAAGATCCACCCAGGCTCAGGGGACTCCTCAGCTCTACTTATGGGTATGCAAAATAATGTTTCCTATATATATTCAATAAGAGGCTAAGTGTTAAAACATAGACTCTGGATGCAGACCAACCCGGGCTCATATCTCAACTCTACCACCTGCTGAATATGTGATGTTTGATGTGCAGCCTCTCTAAGCCTCCAGTCTTTTCTCTTTGAAATGAGAGATTACTGAGAATGTTGAGAAAATGCAGCTAAGGCATTAAGCACAGTGACTGGCATACAGGAAAGTGACCAAAATGTTAAAAGCTAGAGAGAATAATCTGGTGACAGTCATGAAATAAATTTTCTATTTCTGAACAAGCTAGTGGCTTGAAACATGTCTCTAGATAAATGAACTATATAACCAAGACTACTGAAATGTCAAGAAAATAATCCTTTTCTTATAAGTCATGATTAATGATTAATTTGCCTCTGTTAATTTTTTGGTTATCTCAGTGACTGGTAAACGGATTTTCCTGATATTCCAAGAATTTTGATTATCTGTTGCTGCATTAAAATACTGCCCCTAAACCTCAAAAGCATATTAGTAAGTGAAAGAAGCCAATCTGCAAAAGTTTCATACTGTGTGATCCCCGTTATACAATATTGTGGAAAAAGGCAAAACTATGGAGACAGCAAAAAGATCAGTGGTTGCCAAGGGTTAGAGGGAGGGAGGGATGAACAGGCAGAGCACAGAGGATTTTTAGGGCAGTGAAAGTGCTCTGTATGATACTGTAATCGTGGATACTGGACATTATACATTTATCAAAACCCATAGAATTTTAACACAAAGAGTGAATCCTAATGTAAACGGGGGCTTTAGTGAATAATAATGCACTGATACAACCTCCTTAACTGTAATGGCTGTACTACCCTTAGTGCGAGATGTAATAATTGGAGAATGTGTTTGCAGGGAGCAGGAGGCCTGAGAACCCTCTGTACTTTCCAGATGAAAGCCCAGATTCTAAGGGAGAGCAAGTAGATTCCATTCCCAATATAAGGGGTGGCCAAGAGTGTGCGGCCATCTTCAACTGGCTCAGCAAGTTGGTTATGTCTTCAGGGAGTAAGGTGGTTCTGCTGGAAAAGAAGGTAAAAAGACAGAGTTGCTCTTCTTAAGTCAAAATAGGGCAGGTTTCCCAGGATGCTTTGTAAAAGCTCCAAAGTCACATTAAAGGACTCCTGCCATAACCCAGCATGACATAATGTACAGACGAAGGTTGATCAGTGTGTTTAAAAAATTCTGTTGCTAGAAAATTGTAGGAAAGTTGCATCGTTTCCAAATAGTTAGCAAGAAGGGTGATTTAAGTTAATGAAAATTCTGAATTATAGCCTCGTAAAAAAGCGATATGATTACTTTCAAGCAAGAGTAGTCATTAGACACAGGCTAATGGTATTTTTAATTAAGTCCTTAATACCGCAGCAAACATCTCTTCCATTAAAACTACTAGGAAGGAATCGGTGGGTCCCTCCCATGGCCTCCAGGACAGCTGAGCAGCTCCAGTTCTGGCCACAACAGGGGCCCTGGAGTCTTGGAGAGGTACCAATGGCTCAGTGGCCCAAATGCACCATTCCACCTGGGGTCTCCTGGAAAACCTGCCGGTTCCCTCCCCACTGTGCTCCTAGCCTCATAGAGTCTCTTCTAGTCTGTGGGGGAATCTGTACATCATACACTCCAGCTCTTGGCCAGTGCATTTGCCTGTATCCTAACTCTTTTCTTCTCTAATGACTTACAGTTTTTGTACTGAAAAGCCAAAAGTGTTCCTAGACCATTTTTCTTTGTGATTTGACATCACCTCCTTCGAGACAATGAGGATACCCTGGCAGATATCTGCTAGAGTTGAGAGCAAGAGGAAAACACAGATGCAGAGGGAAGAAGCATGCATGGGTTAATATGTCAAAAATACCACATTTCCATGCACAGCTGTGTCAGGCTTTCCCAGGGAGGAAACATGGCCAGCTGGGACACTGTATCATTGCCTCACTAGGAGTCCATATTTCCAAGCCATGGGAATATTCTATCAGAGAGACGTGAGAGAGTGAACAGACCACGAGGGATGCATATGCTGCTGTTCCTAGACCACATGCCAACCCAGCCGAATGGCAGAGACTTGGAGCAGAGATGTAGAGAATGTTGGAATATCCCATAACATTCAACGCCATGAAAGGAAGAGACGCCAGGATGGACTGGGATGGAAAAATCCACTGGCCACAGAAGTAATGGAACCACAGGGCTGGGGGAGAACTTGAGTGCACCTATCAAAATGGGGCTCATTTCAGAGCTGACAAAAGGCTGAGAGAATCTTGAGAGGAAGAGAAGGGGGAGGAGGAAGAGGAGAGGACGGTAAGGAAGATAGGCAAACTCTGTGCATAGTAGTTGGAGGAATTCTAGCAAATTTTGACACAAGACAGTTTGAAATAATACGCTGTCCAAAAAATGCCTTCTTTTCCAGGGTGATAGGGGCCAGCAGTACGCAGAGAACCACGAAAGCAGGGCTGGGACTTCAGTGGCTGGGGCTAATGGAAAACAGCTAAAAGGTGAAGGACAGCAGCGAGGGCGGCTCCCAGGAAGCGTGTGCCCTGCCGACTGAATGGCTCACATTCAATGGTAAGGTTGGCACTGCAGCGGCTCCCTGCTTTACAACAAGGGACTCAGTACAGAAGAAAGTCACTGGGAATGCGGAGAGAAGAGAAAGACCATACATCCATCCCACCCTAGACCCTGTTTTTGGAAAGAAAACCTTTCCTTATCCTTTTTCTGGATGGTAGTAGCCAATCTTATCCAAAATAAACGAATGAAGAATCAAGCAGGATGAGCTGCCTTCTCGGTGCCTGAGCAGGCAGGCAGCAACAAGAACTTCATTTAATAAGCTCAAGGTTTGTAGTTAGTATGTGAACTACCTAGAGATGGTTTTCAATTGTTTAGAGTATTTTATTACTGTAAGTAGGTAGATATTCTACCACATTTACACTATTAACAGAGCCCCTTTCTTTGGAGAGAATAAAAGTAAATGTTAGTTAATGCTTCCAACCCAAATCTCAAATTTGGTAATCTGCACACTTTTCCTTCTCTTTGTACTATTTCCATTAGCATGATACGCACCTATGACCCATATCACAGCGCAATCATCACGCATGTCACTAAGATATACTGCATGCTTTGAGAATATGCGGGAACTGATGCCAAATGGTATTTGTAACTAGCTAGTAAGGGGTTTGCCTCTGGAGCCCAGTTACTCAACTTCTGAAAATCACTTCCATGTGAGGCAGGTTTGGGGGCCGAGTTTGACAGGAGGGGAGAGAGTCAGCCAGTAATCTGATCTCAAAAGAAATTGTCACAATTATCACCTATGCCGGTGGTCCTGGCCCGGGTTCACACTGACCAGGAACAGAGAAAGAATCCACTGCTCTCCTTCGTGTTCTCAGAGGCATGGATGGGGTTTCACAGATGTAATTAAGGTCCCAAATCAGTTGACAAGATAGGGAGGGTGCCTGGTGGGCCTCACCAGCCCCACGAGCTTTTCACACCTGGGTGTAGAGGCCCGAGGTGGAGGGGGTCTGAAGTGGAAGGAACATGAGATTTCCGTGCGCCACTGCAGACTTAAAGATGGGGGGGCCACATGCAAGGAAGGGGCCTCCAATTGCAGAGGGCACCCCCATCTGACAACTAGCAGAGAAATGGGGCCTTCAACCCTACAGCTACAGGAACCAAATTCTGCCAGGCACGAGAAAGAGCCTGGAAACAGATTTTCCCCCAGAACCTCCAGACGAGAACTCAGTCCAGCTGACACCGTGACCTCAGCCTTTATCCTGGGCAGAGAACTTAGCCATACCGTGTGGATTTCTGATCTACAGAAACTGTGAGATAAGAGATGCTTCACGGTCATAAAGATGAAAATAATAGGCACTCAGGACTCCAAAAGTGGACAGTATGGGAGGACAGCAAGGGCTGAAAAGTTACCTGTGGGTACAATGTTCACTGTTTGAGTATTGGGTACACTAGGAGCCTAGTGCCCACCAGTAGGCAGTATACCCATGTAACAAACAAGCATATGTGTCCCCCCAAATCTAAAATAAAATAAAATAAAATAAAATAAAATGGAAACAGATCCACAGAAACAGTTGAGAAAGAAGAGAGAAGTGTGTATTGCTTTAAGCCCCTAAATCTGTGGTCATTGATTACTCTGCAATAGAAAACAAACACAGCCACCTTTGTGTCTTCCTGTATTTGTCTTTCTCCTTCCACCTCACTCTCATTCTCTATCACTGATGTACAAAAAGCAAAAAGTAAGCCAGACACACAAGAATAATTTTGTCTGTCGAGGTCTAAAAGGAGAGCCCTTCATATGTTTTAAGATAGAAGTCATATTTATATAACAAGTTTTTGGCACTTAAGATTTTGTGTCTTAAGAAAAATATAACAAAACAGCTCGCTGACTGTGTAAAGTGTAAACAGGTGATTCCCAGTGATGTGGCTGGCTCTCCTCTGACACCCACAGCCTCAGCTTCCTGGAGTCAGGAAAGGTGTAGCTGGGACTGGGGTGCAATGAGTGAGGCACTTGCCGTCAGTGCAAAGTTTAAGGGAGCACCAAAAACTCAGTCATTAAGATAAGTAACATTTTTTAATTGCAGTAAAACATACACAACATAAAGTTAGCCGTCTGAACTATTTTTAAGTGTACGGTTCAATGGCACTAAGTATTCACATTGTTGTACAAATATCACCTCCATCTACCTCCAGAACTCTTTTCACCTTCCAGAACTGAAACTCTGTACCCAGTAAACAATAACTCCCAAGATTAAAGTTACTTTTTCTTAGGCTATATTTTTGAGAGCAGTTTTAGGTTCGCAATAATATTGGGCAGAAGGTATAGAGAGTTCCCACATATCACCTTCCCCAACATATGCACAGCCTCCCCCATGTCAACATCCCCAACCTGTGGGGTTCATTTGTCACAGCTGATGAACCCATATTGACACATCATGATCGCACAGAGGCCACAGTTTATAGCAGGGTTCCCTCTTGGTGTTGTCCGTTCGGTGGGTTTGGACAAATGCATAATGCCATGTACCCACCCATCGTACTATCACACAGATGTAGTCTCCACACCCTAAGAACCTTATTTGTCCCTTTCCGACTTATTTTTTACTCTTTGCTGATCTTTTTACTGCCTCTCTATTCTTGCCTTTTCCAGAATGTCATATAGCTGGAATCGTACGGTGTGTAGACTTTCCAGATTGGTTTCTTTCACTTACTCATATGCATTTACATTTCCTAATGCAATATTTTTTAAAGATCAAAATTAATGCCAAAAAAAAAAATTCAGGATGAACAAAATACCATTAGTGTCTGCCCTGTCTTCACACTTCAGCTCACACTGCTATCTGATAAAGTAACAGGGTCCGTCCCCTAAGAAAACTGGGGCATTTCCCTTTGACCATTTGCTGCCAACATTTTGTGCTTATTTCAGGAGATCTTCTAAGTGAATTACTAAGTCGGCCGTGACCGTCTAGAAACAGAGTCTGGCGGCTGCGCAGACCCTGCCAGAGCGTTGGGTGCTTTCTTTCTCGTTCCCACCCCTCCCCTGCTGGACGTTTCTGGGAAGTTTCTAGGTGGTGGGTGGTGTAGATTACAGCTGAGAAATTAGCTCAGATCATGCAAATAAATAAGAGGAATGGAGAATCAGCATGGAGCTCTGTCCTCGGCTTCCAGCACAAGCTCCCATCACAGTTTCCAGAGCTTTTACTGGCGTAACTTCAAAATAAGTTCTTTCTGAATTTCAGCAGAAAATTGCTTTCAAGGATGAGAAAATTACTTAGTGATTGCGGAAAAGGAAAAGTACTGAGCCTTCACCAGCTGAGTCTTCTTCCTTTCCCACTCCGCACCCAAAGGGTGCCATCTGAGGTTAGGATCGAGGGGCTGCCGGTGCTGGCAGGTGCTCGTTCTCTCCTGTAATGAGGAGGGGCTCAGACAGGGACGACATCTTCAGGGGGAGACAGCCGTGGGGCCATGGCTCCCCTGAGAGGTGTGTGGGTCATCAGGCCGCACATTTCAAATGAGTGTGAGAGCTCATTGCAGTGAATGGAAAGAAAGGATGAAATTCCTTTTGAGCCTGGTACAGGGAGAGACGTCAGAAAGCTTCATTGCTAATCTCCCTCTGACGGAAGATGGTTTCTGGGCTTCTCAGATGGCAGGGAGTGGCCTGGTCACTGTTGATCTTGAAGGGTGTGGGACCCGTGAAAGTGAAGGAGGAAATGCTCCAGGCCTGACAGCAACCGCAGTGGGGAGATGGGGCAGGAACTGAGGGGTTGGTGCCGACAAGGCCGGACCCGGGAGGGGAGAGGAGCCTGTAGCAATCTGAGGCATGCTGTAGCCCCCTTAGAGCGGGCCTGGCTCCTGGCTGGCAGAGTGGCTCCATGCCATCAAATGCCCTTTCTCCCTCGGGAGACAGGGAAGCAAAGCACTTCCCCTGCTTCCAGGGAATGTTCCTGAAGAGGTCAAGTGGATAGATCATCAGGGACCACAGGAAAGACCAATACCTGCTACTTTCTTATGTTGATTCTTCTATGTCCATTATGAATGTGCCAGTTTCAAAAGAAATGCCTATCATTTCCATTGTTGATTTTCTGGAAATAGCGCTCAGCTTTTAGGGCAGAAGCTACTTTACTTTTATAGTATCTTATCAAAGGCATGGCTGAAAACCTTGCATCTGTCAGCTTTTATAAGTCTTCATGGGCTGTTGGGGGGATAGATTCCACATCCCTCCCGGGAGTTGTAAGCCACTGTAGGCCGTTCCTCAGAGGCAACTTCCCTGCAGAAAAGGGAGACAGAGGCAGAGCGTGGGTCAGAGCCACACGCCCGTGCTCGGGCGCTTTACATTGATTTCATGTCTGCCCTAGACAGCAGATTCGTCTCTGGATTTTACTGACGAGCAGACGAGTGCTCAGAGAATTTAAAGTCAGACAGTGAACGACTAGCGTTGCTGGGAGCCCAGCCTTAGGAGGGCTCAGGCCTCTGTGCTGGCTACTCCTGGAGAGTTGAATTTCCCAGAACAAGGGCAGCGTGGGGGCGGGAGGGAGAGCGGAAGGGATCCAAGGGACATGGGTGCTTTGTGAATGAAGTCAAGTCACACAGTGCATTCGTCCAATATTCTAAGACTTCCTTTTGAGAAATGGAATATTTTGTTATGCGTAGTGCTGGCCTGTGTGCGATAAAATTAAAAGGGAAATCTGGGCTTTTGGTTATTTTTCCAGAAATGGCCATTCTGGGATTCTCAGGACCTAAATCAAACTGGGCCTTCCCTCAGAGAAAGCAAAGGCCTCAGAGATGCTGGTGGCTGATGCAGCTCCCCAGTGCCACCCCACGGCTCCCCATGACCCAATCCAATCCCACCAATGCCCACAGTCCGGAGGCAAGAAGCAGGACACTTTATCCCCTTTGATGCAAGTGAAAAATGAGGTTCAGAGGGGTTAGCAGATTTCCCCCAGTAGCGGGATTTCATCCCAAGTTTCCTGACCACAGGTTTCTACTCTAGCATGGTGCACTGAGAACGGGCCACGTGTTCATCTTGAGGGCCTGAGAGAGGGCTTGTTGTTGAATGGGGAATCTGGGATCCTCTGAGTCTCTGTCCCAGGACTGAAGGATCCAAATTTTCTTTCCTGTTCCTGAGAGAAGAGCCCAGTGCAGCTCCCCAAGCCTGCCAGATGGGCCTAGACATAGGGCTGGGAGATCCAAAGAGCCCTGTGACATTGAATACCTCCAACAAGGTGAACACGATGCATTCATGTTTCTGCAGAAGTGAAAACTCACCCTTGGAGCTGCCCAGGAAGCAAATGCAGTGGCTTTTTCCCCCTGGAAAATCGACCCATGTTGAAGTTTGCCATACAATGAGTATAGCAGCATGCTGCCATTCATTTAATTAAAAATAGCAAAAATGCACCGGGCTCTCAATCATCTATGTTCCCAACAAGAAACTGCGCTGAGACAATCTTCAAAATGGCACATCCCTCACCGCCGAGATTATCTCTATTCCTGAACATGAATGGCAAAGAAAAGAAGCCAAGGCCAGAAGGAAAAGGGAAACCCTTCAGACCACACAGGTGTGTTTCTGTTTCGTCCTCTTTCACAGGGAAGTTCGTACAAAAACAAACAGCACATAAAAATACAACCTCAAGACTTGTATGTTTGTTCCAGCTCTGTCCCGATTTGCATTCCTGTTTTGATTCGTCTTTGCAACATCCTGGGCCTATGATAGTGATTTTTCTTTTCTTCCTAGCAGATTTTCTACTCTTTTGAAGTTAGGAAATGTCCATGGTTTCTTTCAAGCATCTTTGGGTGAGATTTTTTTTCTTTTTTCTTTTTTTTTAAGAGTCAGAGCAGGAAAAGGCCATTCAGCTTATCTTGTCCACTTCCTGAAATCCAAACAAACTCTCAGAAAACTGCCTCACACCCTATCCATTTAGCATATGTCTCAGTACTTGGACAGGAGATTTCAGAGCCATTTCGACTTTATAAAAACTTTTGGAACTGGTTTGAATAGCCTCCAAAGACTTTGAGAAATAACTTAGAAAGTTTGAGACTAAAATTGGTGTGGTTAGTTCCCTCCTAAGGAAATGATTCAGAAAAAAATCCTTTCTTTTCTCAGAGAATTCCATCCAAGTTGGCTGCCCAAAACTTCCCAGCAAACTGATGGCTGATATTTTCAAACTCTTGTCCAAATTCTATTTACCCGTTGAGTGGAAGATCTCGGCCTATTCTTAGAGCTTCCTTTACCCTAACTGAAAAATGGGTTGCGTGATTTGCATGTGATAAAAATGAAGGCTCTTAAAGGAATCTATAATACTTGCCCGCATCAAGTAAAATGTAGCTTAGACTCATTTACAGAATATTAGCGTTCTCACTACGCAAAACAAACAAAAAAGGTAAGAATTTCAGCGCAAACTTCCCCACCAAAATAGTCAAAGCTATCTATCTTAAAAAGCAGTTACCAGAAAGCAGGTGATCTGTACAAACCAACTAATTTTCCAAACACAGTACCATCTCTTGGTGAATACTCAGTGCCTCTCCTAACAGATTTTTTTCCCATTCCAATGTGGAAAAGCAAAAATGTCCAGGAAAGCATATTGCTAACGACTAGGGAGCAGGAAACAGACAATGACGAATTTTCTCATTCGACAGACGGTCTTAGACCATACCTGCTGTGGTCTTGGGAACATGACAAACTGTGGGTTTGTGTGAGTAAGTTCTCAAAGCCACTGCCATTCTGATAAAATTAACTCAAATGGCCATGTTGCTGAATCAACGCGGTTACTCTAGAGGCCTGTGAGGGTTGTGTCCAGTGCTTGCCACCAGGAATCTGTTCGTTGTTATCAGTCCAGACAGTAAATGTATTCATCCATCAACCCTGGCTATTCATGTGGAAACCCTAAGCCAACACTCATCAGAGGAGTCAGGCTGGGCCTGGGCCACAGAGTGAGCCCAGCCTTACAATGTGGGATTTTTTTTTTTTTTTAAATCACACTATCAGACCACAAGATTTGCAGCCATATTTCATTGTCAGAGTTAAAAATAAGACCCAATCCCCAAAAATCATGACATCCAATTCCTTCTATCAAAATATGATTGTTTGGTTTTTTTTTGAATGAATGAATTCCAGTGACATTTATCAAGCATCTTTGATGGAGGAGAGACTATTTATGAGTGAATCATTAAGATAACTTTTGCAAACTCTTGAAGGAGCACATTTTTATTTTTAATCTTAGAAATTTTGGTTACATTTTTTTTCCTGAAATATATTACGAAGTTCCTAACTCTCTTATGAACTGATTTCTTTATTGTGGTAAAATACACAAAACATAAAATTTACTATTCTCACCATTTTGAAGTTTAGAGTTCAGAGTCATGAAGTATATTCGTCTTGTACTACCATCACCACCATCCATAAGAACTGATTATTTTAAACATAAATTAACCTTGTCTGATGAGTTTTGTGCCATGATTACAAATATCCAGTCCTGTGCTGGGTCATTATAGCACTCACAGGGATGAATGAAGTGTTTATGACACCTTATCCAAAATATGGGGTAACCTCAGGATGCTAAGCTTTCTGAGGTCTGGAGATGTTTTTGTATTCCCCTTAGATTTGTTGTTGTTCTTTGTCTTCCTCCATCAGGTTGTAGGCAGTCATTTTTATCTACTTTCAATGCACTCGCCTGAGGCATCTACCCTTTCCTAATGACTGCAGGGGAAGCCAATAATCAAACTGGTTAGAATTATACTCAACCAGGAGTCCCAGTGTGGAGAAAGACTCCCTGTGAGTAAAGGTCAAAAATACCCTGGCAATGCACCCCATGATGTGCATCTGGGCACTTTGTAAAATATTTTTGCTTCTTTCAGGATCTCAACTTGGTCTCAGAGTGTAATGATTGACATATATCTGACCTGTGGATGAAGGAGGACTTATTCTTGTGTTATCTTGGTTGCCTTAAGCTTCCCTTAACATCAAAAGGCAAAATACACTAATAACATCTGGCAGCCTAGTCCCAACTGTGAAAGCAAGAGAAAATTCAATTTAAAAGACAGAAAATTAAAGCAAACCTCCCCTTTAGGTAGCTATCATTTCCTGCCGTAGAAATAAAAGACAGATCCTTTCTATATTTGCTCTCGATTTGTCATGAACATAATATTTTTCTCCTGAAACTACTACTACATATGTACCCAGGTAGAGAAATAAACCCTGGCCAAAGCCTAAACATTTAGAGCAACCAGAAAGCAGGCAACACTAGAAGGGACTGAATCAGGTGGGTCAGCGACGCGTTCAAATATCTTCTCTCTTTTCGGTTTCAGTATTTGCTGGACGGACAAGTATTTTCTCTGAGTATCTGCCACCAGCACTTAATTTTGGTCTTTAATTAAGTCAGTGGTTCTCAACTGGGAGTGACTTTGTCTGCCCAGGGGACATCTGGCAATGTCTGGAGACATTTTGATTATCAGTGCTGGGGAGGAGGTGCTCTTGGCATCTCCTCTTGGTAGAGGCCAGGGATGCGGTTAAATATCCGCACAGGACTGCACCCATAACGAAGAAGTGTTTGGCCCTGATGTCCGAAGTGCTGAGGGTGAGAAACCTCACTGAGCTGCCGAACTAAGCGAGCCAGGGAGTAGTAGGAGGAAGAGGTGGGAGCCGAGGGAAGGAGAGGAAAGTGGGCACCCTAGCACTAGGAGGAAGAGGTGGGAGCCGGGGGAAGGAGAGGAAAGTGGGCACCCTAGCACTATCAGTAGGTCACAGAGGTGCAGCGAGATTTATGAAATGTTTGTGGGTAGGAAGAGTCCCTAAAAGTTGATTTGTGAAGCTAGAGGACTATTGCTTATTGAGGTTTGATGCTCAGTGTGAATGTGACCGGTCGTGGTAAGGAGTTGGGGCTGCAGGGAGGAGCCCAGCCAAACACTCCAAGAGCTGCCTCTAAGGGCAGGGGACAGACGTTGTCTCGGGTCTGGAAAAGGGACTTGACTCCAGCTTGATCTTTAAAGAATGTGATGCTCAGAAGAAACCCAATTAATCAATAATAATCAAAGAAACACTCAAGCTCTTCATAATCAAGAAAACACAAATTGAGAAATTGGAGTGCCCTTTTCACCCTTCAAATGGCCACATTCCTTTTTTTATTTTTATTTTTTTGAGACAGAGTCTCACTGACTCTGTCACCCAGGCTGGAGTGCAGTGGCGTGATCTCGAATCACTGCAACCTCTGCCTCTTAGGTTCAAGCAATTCTTCTGCCTCAGCCTCTCAAGTAGCTGGGATTACAGGCGTGCACCACCACACCTGGCTGATTTTTGTATTTTTAGTAGAGACAGGGTTTCACCATGTTGGCCAGGCTAGTCTTGAGCTCCTGACCTCAGGCGATCCACCTGCCTCAGCCTCCCAAATTGCTGGGATTACAGGTGTGAGCCACCGTGCCCCGCCAAAATGGCCACATTTTAAAAAGTCTGACAATATCAGTTTGTGTTGTTTGTCTCTCAATATGGTTTTGGTTTTGCAGAGACTGTGTACTCTTGTATTACTTGTGTACTGAAACAGTCATAATTGTTATCTACAGGATCAAGTCCATCTGACAAGTTATAAAATGCCAGTCAGGACCCACTACATTTATTTTGTGATCCGTTCATGTTCGTGAACCGTGGTCTGAAAAACACACCCCTAGAGGAAGGAAACTTGTATGAGGACGTGGTTTAAATGTTGTGTTGTGTGATGGTTAATTTTAGGTGTTCATTTGGCTAGGCCACAGTACCCAGACATCTGGTCAAACACTATTCTATATGTTTCTGTGCAGGTGTTTTTTCATGGATTAATTTACATCAGGAGACTTTCAGCAAAGCAGAGTATCCTCCATGATGTGAGTGGGCCTCATCCCATCATTTGAAGTCCTTAAGGAAAAGACTGACCTTCCTTGAGCCAGAGGGAATGTTCCCAGCAGATGGTCTTTAGACTCAAAGACAACTTCCCTAAGTCCCCAGCCTGCCAGCTAAACCTGCACTGTGGGAACTTGCCAGCCCCACAATGGCATGAGCCAAGTCCTCAAACTATACTTCTCATCCTCTCTCGAATGTTGAATTTTGTTATGAAAAATACCTGGGTCACCTAGGATAGGATGCTAACATCTGTCCTTTCTAGACGGTGGTTGTAGTGGGTTGAATAGTGTCCCCCCGCAAAAAAAATACATCCACCCATAACCTGTGAATGTGATGATATTTGGAGTCTTTGCAGACATAATTAAGTTGGGGATTGGAGATGAGATCATCTTGGATCAGAGTGGACCCTAAATCCAATGACAAGTGCTTACCATCACAGACTCCAGTTTTGCTTCGAAAATTCTGAAACTATTCTAAAAAAATATGTTAATGTATTTGAGAGAAAATGAAGACACAACATAAAGGTGTGATGACTCTATCTGACCTGCACAGCAGCTCTTAAGCAGCCCTTGTCCCTCTTGGGTAGAATAAATTTATACAGTAGAATGTATACATTCTAGTTTATACATTAGAATATGGTCTTAGACCTTCCCGCCAGTCCTCTCACCCTCTCTCCCTCACTTTAGCAATGCTGGAAGCCAGGGGCTCCAGACGGCCCAGCTACAAGATGGAAGTGGCAAGGATCCCGCTCACCCGAGGAGAGTTGGCCTGGAGAGCTGCCTGACCCAGCCTTTAATGAGCAAGAGGTAAACTTTTCTTACGTCACTGAGACCTTGGGGTTTGTTTCCACAGCATGACCTGTTTTTCCTGACTCATACAAGCCCCTGGAAGCATCTGACTCACTAATCCATTGACCTTCTCTAACATCAGCATTTACGGATCCTGCCATCAAAATTCTTCATTCATTATGAGGGCTCAGTCAGTTCTCCTTAGGATTATTAAACCATTAGTAAAAGTGCATTAAAATCAGCTTATAATCTCTTCCAGTGGGATTTCACAAATATCACTCCATAGCCAAATGGTTTACCGTTCTCTTCTGACTCAGAAAAGCATATTGTAATTAGAACACTTTTTGCACAATAATAAAAACAAAACAGCTTTCACAGGTTGCGCTGGATGTCAAACGTGGGTAAACCACTCAATTTTGAGCTCAGCTTGGCACAGGTTTATTTATTTACAGGCACTTCAAAAAGAAGGGGGTAGGCCACATCTACATAGCCCAGGGTGTGGAGCGTGGATGTGTCTGTCTGTTTGTTATGACTAAGTCTTGCTCAGTCCTAATTCTTCCTGGTCAAAAATTGTTATTTTTAAAAGACTCCTTGAACACAAAACCCTTCAGATGTGATGGAGATGTGGCCAAGGGAAGCAGGGAAGTGTGGTGATGTTGTGATGTGAATGCAGGCTCTGAGCCCAGATCCCAAATCCTGACACCCACCAGCAGCTGTGCATGTTTGAACTTATGAACCCATTTCCGCAGGTGGAAAATGGGTGAGTAAGCTTACCCTCGGCCTTGTCAGGAACATGAGAAGGCCTCAGTAGGGAGCCTGGCTAGTCCTGCCCCCAGGCTTAGCGGCGGCTCTTCCTGAAGTCCTGCTGACCGGAAGGAACGTCACAAACATCTCCTGCCCACAGGTGAAGGAGGCCTGGGGAAGATGGAGGAGGCGGCCCATCTCTAGGCACCTTCCACGGAACACTGGCCCCCACACGCCAACCGTGCAACAGCCCCGTCCTGGCAGCTGATCCCTTAGCTGTCCGGGAATTCCAAGCACATCTTTGGAAGAGCTAGTTGGGTCCTTTCTGGGGGCATGGAAAGGAGGACCAAGGTCTTATCTGACTGAGGTGAGGAGCAGACACCACGGGGAGTAGGGAAAGAGAAAACTGCAGCCCAGAAGGCGCTTCCTTTACAGAATCCCGAGGCCAACTCAGGCAAATGTCAAGAGCAGGAAAAGCCACCAACTTCAATTCAATTAAATGCATAGGACCGACTTTCAAGAAGGAATAATCTGGGTATTGACAAGCTTGAATTCAAGTTAATGCAAGAGAGAGAGGTCTTGAAGGACATTCATTAAACTGTTCCTGGTTATCCCTGGACGGCGGCAGTTGGGGTGATGTTCACGTTTATTTTACAAAAGCAATTAAGCTACTTTGAATAAAGGAGGAAAAGGAAACATGAAAGAAGTACCCAAGTTCTGAGTCAGAGATCTGACTTCAAATCCCAATTCCACCACCACCAGCTGTGACCATGAGTGGTCCCAGCATTAATGAGGGCCTCAGTTTCTGCATCTGCGGAACGGGAATAACAGTATCTACCTCCTAGGATTATCAAAGCTTAAAGTGGATAATTTAGGATATGCCAAACATCTGGAATCGGGCTCAAAAAGTGGTAAAGAATTTTGAAGATATTTTTCTTTAACACTCCAAAACAACTTTCAGGGAAAGTCATTTTTCATGGAAGGTGCTGACTTTATTGGAGACTGACCATCTCCTCATCACAGTCTACTCCAGAAAAATCAGAGGGAGGTGGGGAATGTTGTACCCAACTTTCTAATGTCTCTAAGACGTGGGTGGCAAGGGTAGGCTGTTAGCACTCCAGAATAACGTTGCTATGCACCCATTCAGGGCTTAGCCTCACAGCCAAACTGAGATCCAGACCCCAGAGAAGCCGCGTGAATCAACAGCAACTCTGCAGCCCCCGACCCCAGCCCTGGCGTCCCACTCACTGAGGCTCTGGCCAGGTGGCGGTGACTCAAACCTTCTCCATTTTAACTTGGCATCTCAGAGCTTCTGGACAGAGTCCACAAATACATGAGACAAAAATAGGCCAGCATACCCTCCCTTGCCAGGCCCTCATTGTTGAGGGATGAGATGAGGGCTGGGCAAGCGGTTACACAGCCGAAACCAGGGCCCTAGAACCCAGCTCTGCCAGCATGGGCGCCCCACAGCTCTGCCCACAGCGTCTGCTCTTTATTCTTGGTTTCTCCTCTCCTTCTCTTCCACTTCCCATTCTTTGTGATCCATCTTTTTCCAAAAGTTGACAGGTTGGCTGGAGACAATTCCCCCTGCCAGCTTTTCTGTCTTTTCCACCTTTAGTTTAAGTTGTCCATGAGGGCTGGTGATCCATTTTCGGTCCTCCATACCTTCCTGGGCAATCCCTCTGGGCCCTCACACCTCCACGCCCTCCACCCTCCCAGCTCCTTCCTCCCGGGGCCTCGAGCTTTTCCCTTTTTTCATCCTCTGTGCACTGTTTCACCCCGACATGTATGTTATTGTTTGACTGTGGCATCAGCCATTCTTGGAGACTTTTCCCAGGGCTTGCAATTTTGTAGCAGAGAGAGATTTTCTATCTAAAGCAAAATGCTGGTCTTGTTTAAATAAATAATAAGATAAAAGAATCAGGCACTGTAGGGGTATTTGGCCCACAGCCATCCTGTCTCAGCAGGGTCCTTTTCATTGAGGGAAGCATTTTTCATATCCATAATTTGCCCCTTTCTCTAACCCAGGGTGCACGCTGCCGTGGCCCTTGGTGACAATGTCCCCTGTGGCCTTCCTCCAAAGCTTGCTCCAGCAAGCTCTGACATGGTGTCCTCCCTCCCCTTCTGGGCTGCGGCTTCTCCAACCTCCCCCAGCTCCTGCAGACAGAGGAGAAACAGCAAGTCACAAGATAAGACAAAGACCCTCTAGGCCAGGCCACTCCTCGCTGCCACTCTGGGACAGCAAGGCAAAACGCAGACGGCCCCAGCTCTGGACGCCTCTCCTCCTCTGGACCCTAACCCTAACCCTAAGCCACTGGAACACTCACGGGAGAAAGCTGGACCTGCTTTGAGGCTCACCTCCCTGCATGCACATCCATCCGGCTTCTCTCAAGAAGCAACCTGGTGTCTGAGAGCCGTTGAGTCTTCATCCCAGCTCTGGTATTTCTCTCATGTGGCCACATAACCTTGAATGTCTGACCTTCAATTTCTTCATCTGTACAGTGGTGAAGATGATCCCCACTTTGCTAGGTTGTTGTGAGCATTACCTAAAAGAAAATAGGTGCTATGGCGGCATGTTTGTTGAGCTAGGAGGACTCGGAACAAAATTAGCTTCTGCACCGGCTGTGCTGGAGCCAGGCAGGCCGCTCCGGTGTGGCCCTGTTTTTCCTGGTTTGTGTCCCAGGAACCTGCCAACCCTCATTGTCCCGGATTTTCCCTTTGACTCCAAAAGCCGTGTCTTTCTTATCAAGCCTCTTTATTTTTGTTATTATCCCGTCAACATACTCCCCTCTGATTCGCCCCCACTAATGACTCGCGCCCTTTCCAAAGTCCCAGCACACCGCGCTTATAATCTCTTTCAGCTGTCCTTAAAAAGGTTCTATTTGTCCCCTCCGCCCCGCTCAGGGGCGCCCGGACTCTGGGGCCCGGCCTTCGCGGGCTCCCGGGTTCCTCCCATCGCTTCCCTCACAGTCCTGGCCGCAGGGCAGCGGGTTTCGCACGGGAGGGAAGGTTTGGATGGCTAACGCCCAGGGTTGGTCTTCCCTGTGTCTTTTATGGGAACACGTTCCTGCCTGCGCCCCACGGGACAGAGCCGTTTTCCCGCCCCGCCACGCCGCGCCCGCAGGCCCCGCTGCCCGCAGCCTCTTCCCGACGCCCCAGGCCGTGCGCCCCCCCGAACCGGGCCCACCGCGTGCTGTGCGGGGCTTCCGCGCCTGCGCACGAACGCTTCTGCGAGCTTTCTCGGAAGCAGCTGGGGGGCGGGGAATCTGCTGAGGAACGGCGCTTTATAAATCAAAAGATAATAATAACAGAGCTTACGGTGAGCACCGGAGGCTGGAAACGGGGTGGCATCCGCTCGGGGCGGGGCGGCGTCGCCAGCGAATGACAACACTGCCCCCTGGTGGCCGATGCGGCCAGGCCCGAGAGAGCGCAGGCCGGGTGCGAGCCAGGCTTCCTCACCACGCGGCTTCCCCACTCATCCCATAGAAACCGTAACTGAGCAAATGACGGTAAGTCCCCAGGAAGCGTTAAGGCCAGGAAGCAGCACAGGAGAAAAACCCGAATCCCATTTTTTTAGAGTAGGGATTTATTTGTTGTCCCCAGATAGCAAGCTGAATTTCTGAATAGTTCAGAGCTCACAAAAGAAGCCAAGACCTTTCAGGGCATTTTATAATGTTGCTTTTTATAAACAAAATATTGAAACCACTACTATCACTGTCACTGGGGGATTACTGTTGAGCAGAAATGCTTGTGAAACTCCCAAAAGAAAGGGTCGTTTGTGCTTCTTTGGCATTAAGTAAAAATGTCCTGTTTGGTGTGTACACGTTTTCATATTTAATTATTCACACTGTGCACTTTATATATAAACTCAGCACTTAGGTTCTCTGTGAGCCAGAAACCTGGCTTCTGTGCTCATCCATAGACCCAGTGAGAGTGTAGAAGCCAAGCCTGGTGGAGCCTGTGTCTACCAGGGCATTGCAGTAAAGCTTCTACCACTCACTGTAAATACCTCCCATCGAGGCTGAGGAAAAGTTGTAGCATACTTGGAAATTGGGGTGGAGTATTGTCATCCAAAAAGGCATATTTCTTTTGGTGTTTTCCATACCCGGCTGTGTCATTGTGAAGCCTCAGCTCTCCCAATCTCCCCATAAACTGGAGGAATCCTAGTGTTTCCTGTCCTGCCACATTATGTGTGGGGAAGATTTTTTTTTTTTTTTTTGAGACAGAGTTTCACTCTTGTTACCCAGGCTGGAGTGCAATGGCGCGACCTTGGCTCACTGCAACCTCTGCTTCCTGGGTTCAAGCGATTCTTCTGCCTCAGCCTCTGGAGTACGGAGCTGGGATTACAGGCACCCGCCACCATGCCCGACTATTTTTTGTATTTTTTAGTAGAGACCGGGTTTCACCATGTTGGCCAGGCTGGTCTCAAACTCCTGACCTCAGGTGATCCACCCGCCTCGGCCTCCCAAAATGCAGAAAGAGTCTTAAGATGGATTTTTAGTAAGTACTTC